>NC_000023.11:77007996-77311026 GCF_000001405.40 Homo sapiens
CTGGCACTGTACAAGAATGACCACCTCATTGCACTCTCACCAGCATAGACTATTATCTTTTCTATTTTTTTCTAATTTGATAGGTGACAAAAATGACATGCCATTATTAGTTTTTCTTTTCCTTTTCCTTTTTTTTTTTTTTTTTTTTTTTTTTGAGATGGAGTCTCACTCTGTCACCCAGGCTGGAGTGCAATGGCACGATCTCGGCTCACTGCAACCCCCGCCTCCTGGGTCCAAGCTATTCTCCTGCCTCAGCCTTCTGAGGAGCTGGGATTACAGGAGCCCACCACCATGTCCAGTTAATTTTTTTTATTTTTAGTAGAGGCAGGTTTTCACCATGTTGGCCAGGGTGGTCTGGAACCTCTGACCTCAGGAGATCCGCCCGCCTCGGCCTCCCAAAGTGCTGGGATTACAGGCATGAGACGCCACGCCCGGACAAGAGTTTTTCAATAATGTTAATATACATGGTTTGTTTTTCCTGTTCTGTTAATTACTTATACATCTCCTTTGCCCATTTTTATTGAGATCTTCTGTTTTTCTTACTAGTTATATGTATTTTGATATAATCAACATGTTAGATTATAATTATTATATGCAGTTGATTCTTATTATTCACAGTTGCTATGTTTTATAAAGCCACTACAAACACTGAATTAATGAATACTGAACCACTGCTCCTGGAGAAATACATAGTTAGGCTCCTGTGAGCCTCTGGTCACATTTCCATCAACCCATCAAAACACAATCTTTGTTTATGTGTGTTTCTGTTTAAAGACACCTTATTTAAGCCACACAAAAACACAAATATTACATGTTCTCACTCATATGTGGAAGCTAAAAAAAAGAACTCATGGAGATACAGAGTAGAATGACAGTTACCAGAGGCTGGAAAGAGTAGTAGGAAGTCAGGGGATAGAGATGGGTTGGTTAATGGATACAAAGATATAGTTAGATAGAAGGAATAAGAGCTAGTGTTCAGTAGCACAATAGGGTGCCTATGGTTAACAATAATTTATTGTATATTTCAAAATAACTAAAACAGTGAAATTGGAATGTTCCTAACACAAATAAATAATAAATTATTGAGGATATGGATTCCCTAATTACCCTGATTTGATCATTATATATCATATGCTTGTATAAAAACATCACATGTACCCCATAAATATGTACAACTATTATGTAATTTATGCTCATGGTTTTATATAATTCCTCCTTGGCTATTGATTCTCAAATCTATGTATCCAGATGGGATCATTCTCTGGAGTTTCAGCCTTCCCTAGATCTCTCCAAGTGGATTTTCCACAGGAACCTCAAACTCTACTTGACTGAAATAAAACTATTCTTCCTATTTTCACAAATGAAGAATCTGAGGCTCAACGAAGTTGAAGAATTTCCCCTGGGTCCCAGTAAAGAAATTAAACCAAATCTGTCTGACTCTGAAGCTTATGTTCTTTCCATTTTTGTTATACTGCCTTTTATAATATTAGGGAGAAAAAAAACCCAGAACATTACATATATATCTTGTAGCTCTGAAACAGAGTAACAAGTTTCACTGGGGAATTGATCCTTCCTGCTCTAAGAAGCTTGAATTCTAAATTTTCTGGATTACTTTTTAAAAAATAAATCCCTGGAAAATCAGGGGCAAAATTATGAAGTGGAAGAAGCTGGAGAAGTCCCTTCCACTCTTTGGATCACATTTTCCCTGATATTTAAAAAAGATCTCTACATTCTCTTACAGCTGTGCCATTATGAGAGTCTATGGAAGACAGAGTTCTGTATAAGGTACAGACATTATGAATAAATGCTCATGCCATTCAGCCTGTGTAATAGCTCAGCTGCATTCCAACACCATTCTCCAGGACCCGCTGGACTAAAGGCTGATCATATATCTTCATGATATTCTCATCTACTCCAGGCACCCAGCCCAGCATGACGCACTTGTCCACACAGCCCTGACTCACCTCTGGCAATACCAGCTCTTTATTCAACTGGAGAAGTAATCAGGTAAAAGTGAAAATTCTATGACATATTTCCCCACAGAGGGTTCTGATATGTGCCCCACAAAGTCACTTACTAGCTGCATGACCTTGGACATGTCACTTAATCTCTCTGACCCTTAGTTTTCTCATCTGCAAAAGAGAGATTAATAAAACGTAATTCACCTGATTATTGCAAAAATTAAGAAATAATGTGTGGAAGAGCACCAGGCATATACTAGGTACTTAATAAATGTTTTCTTCCTTCATTGTCATCCTTCAATGGACCATGCCAGTGTTTCCTTGGATTCACTAGTTATTATCAAGGTCTAATCTATACATTTTTTGATCATCGCCCCCCGTATCAACCAAAGAACATTTAGCCAGGTGTGGTGGCATGTGCCTGTAGTCCCAGCTACTCAGGAGGCTGAGGCAGGATGATAGCTCGAGCCCAGGAGTTCAAGGCTGCACTGAGCTATAATTACGCCACCACTGCACTCCAGCCTGGACAATGGAGCAAGATCAAAAAAAAAAAAAAATCTGAAGAAATGCCACTCATGGTGATTCTTAATTTACTTAACTGTAGCAATTCAGGCTGCATTTGAGTTCTTATAGCAAACTTAAAGTCATAACATGTAGTCAGCAAGCATCTGCTTAAATGCTTCCTGTGACAGGGAACTCAGTCCCTTTTAACACAGCCCATTTCATCTTCAATCAGCTCTGTTGTAACTTCCACCCAATAATCTTAATTCTGTCTCTTGGAGTCAAACTTTACAAATAAAATTCTCTTTCTCATGACAACCCTGTAGAAACTGGAAGACAGTAACCCTGCCCCCACTCCACCCTCAAGGCTTCTCTTCTTAATCTCTATTTTGTCTGTGTTCCTTTTTAAAAGATAACTGCCATATCTGAGCAAAATACTTGAGGTATGGTTCTACAAACTCAGCAACAAAGGAAATAATCACCTCCTGCATTCTAGATACTATACTACTATTAATGCAGCCTCAATTTCCGTTAACTTTTTCGGCAGCCATATTAAACATAGACCCATCCTGTAGAGTTGCTATTTTTTTAATTTTTAATTTGTTTTATGAAACTGGTGCAAGATACCACATTTTTTCTTATCAAATTTATTTTGTTATTTTTGGACCATCTTTGCAATTTAGTACATTCTTGGATTCCTGGTTCTATCACCCATCGTATATATTTACCCTCCCTTTTACAGTTCTCTCTTAACACTCAATGAGTATACTGTTCTTGCATCTCCATCCAAGCCATTAATTAAAATGTTGAAACCAAGACAAAGTCAGGTACAGAGCCCTACAGCTCACCACCAAGGACTTCTCTTTGCAACAGTGAAGCACAATTTTCTCCTACCTCAGTATACCTGATAGACCTTTCCACCATCGATTTACATTAATCACAATAGCTCACAAAACACCAGCAATACCCAAGGAGGGGCAGGACTCCTTAGAGGAAAACTAAAATTAGGGGAAAAGCCTGTGTGGCTTGGAGAAACCTTTATCCAAGTGACTCTGATAAATCTCTCAGAGAATGTGCCCTCATCTCTTGCCCTTTTTAAGAATTCCTACCCCAGGGAAACATAGAATAAATAATTAGCAACTTTTGTAAATGGTTTCTTCATCTGTGTGTTGGAGCTAATAATATACAACTCCTAGGGCTGTTATGAGGACTAAATGACTAATACATATAAAGTACTTAGCACAATGCCTGGTATGTAATAAGTGCTCAATATAAGTAGTACTTAAAAAAAACCTTTCAGACTCCAACTAAAGGAATAATGTTCTAGCTTATGTTTCCTCCATCTTGTTCACCAGGGTGTCACAAAAATAAACATTTTTGTCATGTTCCTTTCTGCAACGTAAGTAAACTATAGTCATTACCTACCTGCAACTATTCGTTAAAAGACCATATCCAAAAAGGCCACGTTTCCCAGCCCACAAATCTGAGTACAGGACACAGCCCCTGAGGGGCTGTTATAGCCACAAATATATTAAAATTTAATTTTTTCAAGCTGAGGCTCTACTGTATTGTCTGACTCCCATTCACCCCCTACCGCCCCAACTATGAATGGCAGAATCAAGACCTCCACATTTTTGAAGGCCCACATCATTTCCCTTCCTGTTGCAACGTTACCTGATCCTGCTGTTTTCAGTAATGGTGACAGAATCCAGGTAAGGTAATCCAGATTTGCCTTGCAATAAGATAATTCCAAGATGTCTATGGCTGCAGGACAGATTGTGATACTCCACCCTGTTCATACCCATAGCTCTCTGTTCACACTCATATCATGATATCCCTATCTCCCAACCCCCACCTTGGGTCACTGTGGTTTGCATGTCATATCTCAGGACTTCTGGTGGCCAAAAGTGGAAGCTGAAGTAGGACAAGAACTGAATCTGGAACCAGAGAAATCTATAAGTCTGTAACATTGGAAAACATTGTATGCTATGGCTTTTCTAAGTGACACGTTAATAGTAATCGACATATTATTATAAAAACAAAAATTTCCCACATCTATATTGTGCTTTGTGGTTTATAAAATACTTCAATGATCCCCAGTGTGTGATGTTCCCCTTCCTGTGTCCATGTGTTCTCATTGTTCAATTCCCACCTATGAGTGAGAACATGCGGTGTTATAATAATAATAAAATTAAAAAATAATAATAATAGTAATAAATACTTCAATGAGCACTTTCTCCTTTGTTTATCAGAACAGTTAAGTAGCTTCATTTGAGGGAAACACTGCTGGAAAATTAAAAATTAATTATCTTCATCAAACTTAATTATGTATTATTCCTCCACACGTATACAATAATTATCTCTGTCACACAATCTAGTTTGATCAAAAAAAGTTAAATAACAGCTATTTTGCACCACAAGGCATGAAACGCTAGGCTTCTTATCTTTTAGGACAGATAATATTAACTTTATTTTACAGGTAAGGAAAGCAAGTCTCTGTGAGGTTAATTTGCTCAAAGTCCACATATCAAATAGTAGAACTAGGAGTCAAAGTCTCTCTACTCTGACTCCAAATCATCTGCTCTGTTTTCTACCTCAGCATTTCGAAGTGCCATTCAACTGCCTTGATTAAAATGCCTGACATCCTCCCTGTCAAGAAACAGGCAGTGGCTAACTGAAGCCATCTTCCTAAAAGACATCTTTCAACTCACAAGTTCCTAAGCCAAGTTATCTCACAAAAGAGTAAGTTTCCTTTCCAGGCAACCAAGTTTCTATGCCATGCTGAAGAACCTTTCTTTTTAACCTTTCAGGTATACAGCCATAGAGCCTCATCCATCTGCAGAAAAGATGCTGACATATATTGCACCAAACAGAGCTCCAACCCCACCTTCAATCTTGCAGCATTATGTCAGTCGTTATCAAAGCATCTGGCCCAGTGTCTCACTGCAGAGATTGTGCACAAATTAGAAATGCTGCAATCTATGAAAATTCATTCTTCATTCTCCATGTTTGTCAGCCCCTACCCTTCACATTGCAGTCCCAACAAAGGACAGAAAGGCAACCACATGGGAGAAATCCAGATAACGCAGGCCAATTTCTACCTCAGCCCACAAACGACAAGGAACTAGGTAGCCAGTCTTGCACATGAGAGATTAGATACTGTTCTAAGCCTACCATTTTCTCTTACACAGCTCTCTAAAACATCGCAAGGTATACTCCTCAACTCAATTCTAATTAGCTGACTCATTCACTTCCTGCCTTACCTATTATAATTAGCTCTTTTCTTCAAGATTTACCAATCCCTCCTTCTACCCTAAATAGCATCCCTAAACAGCTACACAGCATTATGACCGTCTACAGTTAAAAAGATGGAAAAGTTTTCATTCACGGTTTGGTATTCCGTTAACTTTGGCCTGAAGTGAGACCAGACACAAAGAATGCCTTCAGGAGCTGGCATGCAGAGCCAGGAATCACTGGGGCCACATACAACCTAGTCTCAGCTCCAGCCAGATGAAATTACTGGATGCTGTGAGGTCACATACTGCTTCCCAGACAAACCAAGGCAGAGCCCAAAACTCTGCATTACCTCCTCAAAATGGCCTCTCATATCTCACACAAAAAAAAAAAAAGCCCAACTTTGGGTGCAACTAGCAACTAGCCTCTTTTGAATCTCCCCTCAACAAACCCTGGCCCCTGTATTTTCCTGTCTTCTTATTTGATCTGTTTTCTATCCTGGTTCTCAGCTGAGTATCAACTTCTGTTAAGTACCTGATTCCTTGCTTTGGCTTGAATCAGCATAGTCTTCAGCCATCTTCCTGGGTTTACCGACCACAGGCTCGAGTTCTGCAGAATTGGTTTAAACTGGTCAAAATAGATTTGAACTGACCAGAACTGATTTTCTTTGTCAAAAAATATTTGAACTGATCAAGATCAACTTCTGACAATTTTAAACCCTTTTGGGCCAGTTTTACATTACTAATGCAGGAGCAAGCCACTGAGGGAATCAGGATGAACCAGGAATGAGATGAAGCTGCTTCAATCTGCTTAGAAGACCAGCAAGGAGGGGACAAAAAGGACCTGATGCTAAGGATCATACCATTTGTGGTGGTGGTGCTGGAGGGGGGATAAGAAAGGACCTAATAGTCCGAGAGGTAGGATCAAACTACTGTGGACCCCGGGGGAAGGACTAAAATAAACTGATGCTCAATAACGCAGGATCAAATCACTGGTGTGAGACAGGAGGAGGAAAGATGCTGATGCTCGCCAGACAGGATCAAACCACTGAGATGCATATGGAGCTGAATGGGGATGCTTGTCGATAAGGAGCCATCAAACCACTCTGGGAGAGGGAAGGAAAAGAAGAGGAAGAGTGAGATCGTAAAGGGTCTAGTAGTGTGTAAGACAGAGTCAGACCCCTGTGGAGGATTGATGACTAAGGGATGCTGTTCTAAGTAGCAGGACTAAACCACTGTGAAAGAGAGGGGAGCAAAAAGAAGCTGAAATTTCTTAAAGCAAACATAAATTCTTTATAGGAGAAGTAAACAAGAATATGGTGTTCTGTAAGACAGAATCAAATCCTGCTTTTATATTTAATAAAGCGTGTTTATATATATTATTATTATCATTTGTTCTTTACTCTCCCCTCTGATGGTTGGGTCAGACCATGTTCCCACAAAGGCTTGTGCAGTAATTCTCAGCTGCCCCTAATGGTTGCTAGGCAACAGTGCGGCAGCTGCTGGATGAACCTTGCCCTTTTGACATTAACCCCTGGGTTACTGGAAGGGAAATAAGATGTACATAAATGAAAAAAGTGGGGAACAAAGTGAGATGATGACATCAAATGCTAGGTGGGGAGAAGTGGAAGACAAATTCACAGACCTTCGAAAATAAAAGGGAGACAGTAAAGTAATTGGCGAATGATGGCTATGTGGAAGAAGCAACACTTTGACAAAAGTACAGTCCTATAAACTTAGAAAACATCAAGCCCAGTTCTACATAAGACTTCTGAGTCCTCCTATGACATCCCTAACCAGTGGTGCTTGAATACTTTACGTGAAAAAGTAGTAGTTGGAAAAAAGTAGTAGTTCCTGGACAACCTATTCCATTTTCCTATAACTCTAGTCATTTTTAAAAATTGTGAGCCCCAAATTTCTTCCCTATGGATTTCACCCAGAAGTCTGAATCCTGTCTTCTAGAGCAGGGGTTGGCAAACTAGGGCTTACAGGCCATACCCAACTCACTGCCTATTTTTGTAGAGAACATGAGCTAAGAATGGTTTTTACATTTTTAAATAGTTGAAAAAATAAAAAAAGAATAACATTTTGTGACATAAAAAATTTTATGAAATTGAAATTTCAGTCCATGAATAAAGTTTTGTTGGAATACAGCCATGCTCATTCATTTACATATTATCTATGGCTGCTTTCTTGCTACCACAGCAGAGTTTAGTAGTAGTAGTTGAGTGGTAGTAGACATTATGGCTCTCAAAGCCCAAAGTATTTTACTATGTGGCCCTTTCCAGAGTAAGTTTGCTGACCACAGATCTAAAGCAACAAAATAGCAGTTTTCAACAGGACTCTGCTTAAGTAAGAATGTAATGGGGATAGTAGATATATGACAGAGAGTTAAGAGACCTCACAGAGAATCCCAAATCCTCAAAGGGAGGAAGGAGATGTGTGCCAAGGTCCTCCAAGACCTTGAATAACTTCAAGTCATTTCCCATGGTCTCCAAGGGATAAGGAAGAGATTTAGCTTGTGTGGAGAGAGGGAGTCTCTAAGAATAAAGAACAGCTGGAAGTGAAGGTTTGGGTCAGACTGTTAAAGACCTTGAGCACAAAATACATTTTCTTGGCCATCCTGAAAGCAAGAGAAGAGCCACTATTGAGTTTCAGGTTGTGATAGGGTCGATTGACAGGGTAAAAGCAGGACCTGATGAGGATGATTCATGCTTCTAGATATCATTCTAGTTCTATCTTGGTTCTACACAAGTTGCACTGGTTTGAGAAGTTCAGGTCATTCTGGTCACTCAGGTTCAAAACCATCTCAATACAGCTACCCTAGTCTGAACGCAATCTGGTTGGAGGTCAGGCTCCTACAGTAAATGAAAGATGTATATTGGGTCAATTTCAAAGGATTTCTGCTTTAGAAGGCATAAGAGATGTGATAAGAACATCTTGTCACATCTTTCTCTGATTCCTACTCATTTTCAGGACCCAATTCAACCATACCTCCCGCAGGGTTCTTGCCCTCCTCTGAACTCCTTCAGGACTTCTTTGTACCACTCACATGGTCCTAACTTATACCCTTACTAATATTGAAAGTATCTCTTTGTGAAAATGGCCTGTTTCCCCAGAAAAACCTTGAGACCCCAGAGGAAAAGAATTATAACTGAGACTTTTCCGTGTTCCCATGGGATCTGGCTAGTTGGGAAGGATATTGATCCAATGATTTAGTGGTCTCTCAGTGTAGGGAGGCCCCACTTAGGGAACCTCAGGCACTTTGGGAGCTGTGTCTGCTCTCGTTACACACTCACCTTTCTCAACTAAGTAGGCTGTGAAGAGGTGAGGTCTAGTGATGTATCCCAGCCAGGCCTGGGCTACAATGACTACACAAAGAGCATATAGCTCTTTCTGGCCCTAATGCCACAAAGTCTCTGGCTCCCCATCATTCCTGCTTTCATAGGCTCAGGGATGAATGTCATGGTCAGAAAGACAAAGCCCACAGTTCTGATTGCCAGGTATCCAGTCCCATTTTCCATGGCCTCTGTTGATGTTGGACCCAGCCTTCAGGCTGGACTCAACAGACTCAGGATGAAAATAGGCCCTTGGCTGGGAAGGCTGGCTTTCCACAAAGTGCTCTTTCCCCACAATGGCCAAAGCAAATGTCGCCGGCCAGAGCTGAAAGCCAGCCAGCTGCTCCCAACCTTTGCCGGGCAGCACCAAGGAGGCCCAGAGTCAACAGTGCATGGACAGGTTTGCTATTTTATTCCTTCTCATTCCTCAGACATCAGATTTCCCTTTGGTGAGTCTAAACAACCAAAAAGAACTGAAGTCACCTCTAGCCTCTAGGAAAAAGTCAAAGATCTTTTGGCCTCAATTGCTAAGAGTTAGAGATTCAGCACATCCCCCACCTCCAATCCCCTCAGCCTCTCAAGGGTGCCAAAGACAACAGGCCACCTTCTGGAGTCACTGTTGAAATTGCTTCTCTCTGTTTCCTTAGGAGAAAGGAAGGAGGTGTGCAGGAATGAACTATCAGTACCCACTGTTCTTGCTGGTTCACAGGCCAAGGTAAGACTCAAAACAGAGTCCAATGAATTATTCTTCTTGAATTAAGTAGCCAGCCTCCCTTCATCATGAGAGGTCAGGGGCCAGGTTTCAGAAACTGACTGAGAGGAACATGGAGAGAGGAAGAGAAGGATGGGTAAAGAAAAGCACAGTGGGAAAGGCCAGGCAGAGACAAAGGGAAGAATTTTTTATTGAACATACCGAAGTTTCTTCTGAAAGAGCAACTTTAGGCTAATGAGTGCAATTAGGAAGGTGGGAAAATTTTGATGGTGGCAAAGCTAGAAAATGGTACTGCCTTGGGAATGAAATTGTCTTGTCTGTATCCATAGAAAATATTCCCCTCTCCCAAACTGGGACGAGTTGTTACTGACTTAGAAGATACCTGGGACTAGAAAGGATTACTATCAAACAGAAAGACATCCTTCATCAGAGATAGTCAACATCTGATTCAAACTATAAGCTATCTCTTCAGTACACAGGTCCCCTCTAATAATAATCATAGACATTTCACAATAATAGTAATAAATACCCCATAATTAACCCCACCTACATGCCTGGCAATGTTCTATTCCCAAACTTGTCACCAAGGCACCCCAGCGTGCCATAAGCAATTTGCAGAGGTACTGCAAGATATTTTAAATTTTTGAGGGAAACATATTAACATCTGTTGGATGCCTGTGAACTACTACTATTAAGCTTTTTCCACCTAATTACTCAATAAACAGAGCTGTTGTATATTTCTATATTTCTTTTGGCTTAGGGATGCTGTGAAAAAAATACGAAAACACTAAGGGCACAGTGAACCAAGAAACTTTGGGAATATTTGCTATATGGATTACATGGATTACTCATGTAATTCTCCAACATTATGAGGTAGGTCTTAATATTGTTTGCATTTTGTAGATAAAGAAACTAAAGCTCCAAAAGATAAAGTAATTTGTCCAATGTACACATCTAAATGATGGCAAAGCAGAGATGAAAACATAGATATGGTAGACTCCAGGGACTGTACTCCTAAAACATTCATAATACTGCTTTCCCATAATTAGCTTTGCACACCATGCTCATTGAATATGCAGGCTGTAAAGAATGCCTTGATAGGACAAGTGATGTTTGTGTTACGGAAATAGTATTACTAGTCTAGAAATCCAAAATTTATTTGTCTCTTAATCAATACATATACTATAAAATGTATATAAAAGGGATGCCATTTAAAACTAAGAATTAAATAAATATGAAACAGAAGCTGAAATTGGGATTCCCACCAAGCTATTTCAACCGTTCAACTGCTTTTGAACTAATTCCTGGGAGATCCCCCATGGTTAGTATAATTTTACTCTAAATTTTAGTTTTTCTGTATCCCCAAGGTTCACTTTTATTTTCTGGTGTGATAAGCAGTGTCTTTTATCTCACTGAATATAAAAGAGAAAGTATCAGCCCCAATTGCCACTGGTTTCTCTCTTATTACCCTGAGGGAATTCAGCCTGAGAACAAGGACAACATACAAAGCAGGGCAGAATCAAGAGAATCACAGAGGAAAGGTGCCAGAGTCATGACTGAACCATACTTGAAACCTGTCCAACCGCTGGACTTTTCTGTTACATGAGCCAATATTCCTCTGTTTTGTTCTGATCAGTTTGAGTTTTCTGTAATTTGCAACCAAAGCAACCTGAATAAGCTACTTTCCTAAAGCACCTAGCACCATGCTTGGTATACTCAGCCATAAGAGCCCTGTTCCAATGCTGATTCCCCACTGAAGCATGTTCTAAACCCCAAACACAATTTATTGCTCCATTATTTGGGTATCATAGCTCATTATATATAACTTTACTGTATGGTATATCACTGTGGGTTATTTATTTACAGATACTTCTTTACCTAATGTTTTTCCCACTATAAGGTAAAACTGTGGTGCCTTATAAAATGCCTAACACACAGGAGACCATCCATAAGTGTGTGTTGCTCTGAACTAAAATGAAACATTAAGCATTCAATCAACGTTAGTTCAGTTCTCTTTCCTCTGGCAGGCAGAATGATGCTAGATAGGTCCCATTCTTACTATAAATTCTGACAGCCCAGAGACTTGTCCCATTTTAGCCCTAGGCATGGGCAGAACAACTACAAATGGCAATACCCAGTCTGCTGTTCCAGCATCCAACACCCTGTACCAGACCTGGCAGAAATCAATGCAGAGGTTGCTGAGACAAACCATGGGCCCCACTGAACCCAGCCCAGACAGAGAGTAGCAGTACAATCATGGCCACCACAAAGCTGGCAACCAATCAGAGTAGTACAATGGTATTTTAAGGAAGGCCCCAAAAACATACCCATTCCATTCTCTCCTTTGTGTCCCATCTGCAAGCCTACAATTCTATCACAGGAATTTAATTGTGTTAACAGAGGGCTTTGGCCTTCTTCAAAGCAAGTTTCTTTCTGTACAATAATTTCCTCTTCTTCTGAACTTTCACAGTACTTAGCACATTCTTCTATTAGCATTTCTCATATTGGCTTGTGATTATTTCTATATGTGTCTGTGTTGCCCGCTAGACTGTGAGCCCTTGAGGACAAGAATTTTGTTGTCTCAGTCTCTGCATTCTGTGGGCCTACCATATACCGAAAACAGAATAAATGCTCAGAAAGTGTTTCTTGAAATTAATTATTGTCAAGTCTCCCTTAAAATAGTGAGGTAGATTTGATGCCAATTGGTACTTGATACCTCCTCCTGCCATAGAAACATGTGGGATTTGGAGATGGTGGTAGAATACGTTGATTTGAGCCTATCTTAGTGAATTACTTGCCAATTGTCCTTTCTCAAAGCCTGTAAGCTCTTTGAACCTTAGTTTCTTCACCCTCACAATAAAGACAATTATAAATGTACTTTGTGAATGTAATGTCTTGTGAAAAAGTGTATTTATAACATAACTTAATTGAAGGAGGGTTTTTTTCCATAATTATTTTTGCCTAGGGATAAGTGGGGATTCCTTCAGAGCTTTGCAGAGATTGCCATTTCACATACTGGATGTTCCCTGTGGAGTTTTTTTGTGGCAATAAACCTATTCTGCTTCCTCCATTAAATAATAAACAACTTTTATCCTTCCTTAGTCCACCTCCTTCAGCAGTGTTCAAGGTGGGCAAATGGCAGTAGGAACAACCCAGAACTGCACAGAAACCAAAAGCCTCTTAGAATCAACTCTAGAACGGTGTTCTTGCAGATGAGAGCCACACTTTAGTTAATATTAACACCAATTTATGTTTCCTGAGCACCTGCAAGCTGGATAGTGAAAGAAGTCATCTAGGAACAGAGATGATGATAGCAAAAATGTCACCTTTGAATGCCAAACCAAGCCTGCCAAATCGAACTACTCATTGCTCTTCATACATGCCTTATGACTTTTCTACCTTTAGATCATTCCTCTTGCTGGTACAGAGGTCTTAAATGGCCTTCTACACTTTTCCTAATGTCAAGTGCTAACTATCTTTCAAGGCCTGGCTCAAATTCTACCTTTATAAATTTTTCCTTATATACCAAATTCCTTCTTTCACCTACAAATTGTTTCTCCTTCTTTCATGTTCTTCTGAAAGCACTTGGCTTCTGGCAATTACTACTTTTCTATCATCTCTCTCAGTTAATGTCTCTCCAATTTATCTTCTCCTCCTAGGTACCTGTCATCTCTTGCCTGAAACATTATAGTTACATACTAAGCAGTTTCTCTGCCACCGGTCTTTCATTCCTCCAGCCTATACTCCACGTTATTGCCAAGTACAGCTTTCTAAAATACTTACCCTACCCTGATTTAACATTTCTGGTCATAGGAGAAAAATCTAAATTCAGCAACATGATACACCATAGTAGCTACAAAATACAGGCCCATGAACTCACTACATCAGAATCATGGTCAAGGGGGTGGGGATAGTTTGTTAAAGACATAGATTCTCAACCAGATTCTATTTCCTGAAAATCTGTAACTTTAAAGGCATTACAGATCAGCCAAGGATGGTAAATATGTTTCATCTTATGGATCAATTCAAATTGACTACAAATAGCCATTTGCGGTTCTCTGTTTTGAATGATTCTAAGTCATATCCAGGCTTATTGGGAAGAAAGATTATGCCTGATTAGCAATTTCTGATGGGCATGGGAGGAACTTATAGTGGTGATCATGCAGGCATTTTTTATTCCGGCTTCAGGCACAGAACAACTAGCAATTTCCCAGGCAGGTAGGCAATTCCCACCTTTGTGTACTGTTTCATTCATCTAGAATGCCTCCCTCTGCCCACACCCTCAACTCCTGAGTTTCTAGAAAATTTCTAATTATCATCTAAGTTCAATTTAAATATCACCTAGTCTGAGAAGTTTTCGTTGACTCTCTGCATCATTCCATCTCTCATCTGGGTTCTGATAACAATTTTTTCTCATAAGCAGAACTTGCTGTATTTGACACTTTAAATCCATTTTTAAATAAAGATGAATATAAATAAACTAATTTTCCTAAAAATACTAAATTATGTTGTAAACCTCTGTGTATATCTGTCCTATTAGACTCTGACCTACTCGAAATAAATGACCATACCTTATTCATCTTGTTTTCTTTAAATTCCAAGCCCCTTGCTCAGTTCCTAGTATCCACGGGGTGCTCAGTAAACATGTATTGAACTGAGCGTAGATCTCATTGTGGGGTGTGGGGAAGAGAAAGGAAGAGACCTGGTAACTGCATCAAATGCATCACCCTTCCCTAGAGAAACATGGAGATAGGGTCAGGTCCATGGATGCAAATGAACACTTCTGAATGAAAGAAGACAAAAAGCACTGACAGGAATACCCTGTGAAATAGGTGCAAAGATGTCTCCTTTCCCACATAATGTCTTCTGGTACTTCTTTGTCAGCCTCTTATGGTTTCCCACTCTTCTCAACAGTGTTTATTGTCTGTATCTCACAATTTGGTATATGCTTGTTTCAGGCTGGTGAGCCTTACCTCCATTGTTAGATTGCTCCTACAGACCAAGAAACAGGGCTGAACATCTTCAGAGCTTCCTAGGCAAGTAGCACAGGTTTAGGCACATGTTAGGTACTTAAAAAGACTTGTTAATTGATTTATTGAGTGATGATGTTTTTTATGATTTAAGAGGTCAAGTGTTTGTGTGATATTTATTACAGTTGTTATTGCACTCCAAAACCAGAGAAAATGTTCAGAGAAACTCTTGTTTGTGGGAAAGCAAAAACCTCCCACCTCCACATTAATTTTCCCAGCGCTTACTTCTCCAGATTAACAATGCCTTACCTGTGCCCTGTAGTTGGGAAATAAGACTAATTTGTGAGTCTAGCATGGCATAGAAAAAGTTGTGGAGCTAGAGTTAGATGATTTGGATTCTTATTCTGACTCTGCCAACAACTTTCTGTATGACCCTGGGCAATACGCTTCCATCCAGCTTTACTATCTATTAACTGAGGAAGGCAGACTCCAAGGTCTCTAAGGGGTCTTTCTGTTTTAAGTTCCATTGTTTGATTAAGGCAAGTGTGTTTAGCATGAGGAACATGAATAGGGGACATTGAACAGTGCTTGTCCTCAAGTATTTTATGGAGTTGTTTATTTTTCCAACAGAATTTCTGAATGTCTACTATATGTCAAACACTGTTCTGGAGACTCAAAATGTAACCTTGAACAAAACAAAGTCCTTATTCTCAAGTGCTTATGTTCTAGTAAGGAAAGGTAGACTATAATCAAATAAACAAGCAAAATCATAATATGTCAGTGAATGCAATGGAAAACAAAAAAAGCAGAGTGAATTAGTCCGTTCTCACATTGCTAATAAAGACATGCTTGAGACTGGGTAATTTATAAAGGAAAGAGGTTTAATTGACTCACAGTTCAGCATGGCTATGGAGGCTTCAGGAAACTTACAATTGTAGTGGAAGGGGAAGCAAACATGTCCTTCACATGGTGGCAGCAAGGAGAAGAACCAAGCTAAAGGGGGAAAAGCCCTTTATTTAACCATCAGATCTCATGAGAACTCACTCACTATCATGAGAACAGCAGCATGGGGATAATGGCCACATGATTCAATTACCTCCCACTGGGTCCCTCCCACGACACATGGGAATTATGGGAACTACAATTCATGATGACATTTGGGTGTGGACACAGCCAAACTATATCATTCCACCCCAGCCCCTCCCAAATCTCATGTCCTCATATTTCAAAACACAATCATGCCTTCCCAACAGTCCCCCAAGGCCTTAACTCATTCTGGCATTAACTCAAAAGCCAGACTCCAAAGTCCCACCTGAGACAAGGCAAGTCTCTTCTGCCTATGAGCCTAGGGCTGATGAGATCAAAAGCAAGTTAAAATCAAAGATGTAAAATCAAAAGCAAGTTAGTGACTTCCTAGATAGAGTGGGAGTACAAACATTGGGCAAATACGCCCATTCTAAATGGAATAAAATTGGCCAAAACAAAGGAGATAAAGGCCTCATGCAAGTCCAAAATCCAGCAGGGAAGTCAAATCTTGAAGCTCTCAAATGATTTCCCTTGAATCCATGTCTCACATCCAGGTCATGCTGATGTGAGAGGTGGGCTCCCACAGCCTTGGGCCATACCACCCCTGTGGCTTTGCAGAGTAAATCCCCCCTCCTAGCTGCCTTCACAGGCTGGCATTGAGTGTCTTTGGCCTTTCTGGATGCACAATGCAAGTTGTCAGTGGATTTACCATTCTGGAGTCTGGAGGATGGTGGCCCTCTTCTCATAGCTCTACTAGGCAGTGCCCCAGTGGGGACTCTGTGTGGGGTCTCCAATCCCACATTTCCCTTCTGCACTGCCCTAGCATACGTCCTCCATAAGGACTTCACCCTGTAGCAAACTTCTGCTTGGAGATCCAGGCATTTCTGTACATCCTCTGAAACTGGGGCAGAGGTTCCCAAACCTCAATTCTTGACTTCTGTGCACTCACAGGCCCAACACCACATGTAAGCCACCAAGGCTTGTGGCTTGCACCCTCTGAAGCAACAGCCTGAGCTGTACATTGGCCCCTTTTAGCCACAGCTGGAGCTGAAGCAGCTGGTATGCAGAACATCATGTCCTAAGGCTGTATAGAGCAGGGATGTCCTGGGCCTGGCCCATTAAACCATTTTTTCCTCCTAGGCCACAGGGCCTGTGACGGGAGGAGCTGACATGAAGGTCTCTGACATGCCCTGGAGACATTTTCCCCATTGTCTTGGTGATTAACATTTGGCTCCTCATTACTTATGCAAATTTCTGCAACTGGCTTGAATTTCTACCCAGAAAATGGGTTTTTCTTTTCTATTGTATCACCAGGCTGCAAATTTTCCAAACTTTTCTTCTCTTCTTGCTCTTGAATGCTTTGCCACTTAGAAATTTCTTCTGCCAGATACCCTAAATCATCTCTCTCAAGTTCCAAGTTTCACAGATCTCTGAGGCAGGGGGAAAATGCCACCAATCTGTTTGCATAGCAAGAGTGATCTTTACTCCAGTTCCCAACAAATTCCTCATCTCCATCTGAACCACCTCAGCCTGTATCTTATTATCCATATCACTATCAGCATTTTGGTTAAAGCCATTTAAGTCTCTAGGAAGTTCCAAACTTTCCCACATCTTCCTGTCTTCTGAGCCCCCCAAGTCTCTACGAAGTTCCAAACTTTCCCACATTTTTCTATCTTCTTATGAGCCCTCCAAATTATTCCAATCTCTGCCTGCTACTCAGTTCCAAAGTCACTTTCACATTTTCAGGTATCTTTACAGCAGCACCCCACTCCTGGTGCCAATTTAATGTATTATTCCATCCTCGTGCTACTAGTAAAGACATATCTGAGACTGGGTAATTGACACAGAAAAGATGTTTAATTGACTCATAGTTCAGCATGGCTGGGGAGGCCTCAGGAAACCTGCAATCATGGTCAAAGGATAAGCAAACAGGTCCTTCTTCACATGGCAGCAGCTAGGAGAAGTGCCCAGCAAAAGGGGGGAAAGCCCCTTATAAAACCGTCAGATATTAGAGAACTCACTATCATGAGAACAGCAGCATGGGGATAACTGCCCTCATGATTCAATTACTTCTAACCAGGTAAATCCCTTGATACATGGGGATTATCGGAACTACAATCCATGATGAAATTTTGGTGGAGACACAGCCAAACCATATCACAGAGCAAGAAGAAAAGGGAGTGCTAAGGTATATCTAACTATCTTACATACAGTAATAAAAAAAGACACCTTTTATAAAGTTACATTGATTAGAGACATAAGAGAAGTGAGAGAGCCAGCCCTGTAGATATTGGGAAAAGATAATTTAAGCAGAAGGAACAGAAAGTACAGAAGCCTTGAGAAAGAATGTACTAGATGTATTCCAGAAAAAACAAAGAGGCTAATGTAGTTGGAGCAGAGCTAGCAAGGGGAGTAATAAGAGAGGAAGTCAGACAGATACCAGTCAGGCTAAAGAACATGAAAAGGCCCTGTAAGCCACTGTTAAGACTTCAGATTTTATTCTGAGTGAGATTGGGAACTATTACAAGGTTTAGCTCACAGGAAGTGACATCATCTGACTTGTTTCTCAAAGAAGCAAACTAGTTTCTGTCTTCAAAATAGACTGTAGTAGGGAGGGCAATAAGAGTTGGAGCAAGGAAACTAGTTACGGAGCTATGTTAGAGATGATGATGGCTTTTTTAGGGTACACAAATATCTACAATAGAGTATAAAAAAATAATAAGTGGCTACACACAGAATATAGAGTTTAAGTACTGTGGTTGGTGAGCAGTGACAGGATCAAGTATGTGGATGAAATTATCATAAAGGAGGTGAAGCTTGAAACAAACGTTACAGGATAAAGAGATAGAGTCTTTATCTCTCACATGAGAGTAACAATCCAAGCCCTATAAACTCCACAGGATTCTTGTGAAACTCAGCTGAGAGCCTGGATTAAAGAACACTATGTAAGACACAATGTAGAATACAGAGGTAAGGAATTATTATTCCTGATTCTTGACCTACCTATCCCCTATTTTTCACAAGCAACTAGAGAAAAGGAACTGGTAACAGTTTAAGACAGCCTGGCATGATAAAATCACACTGATGAATTGACTGTCAACTCAAAAGACCATTATATGTGGTAGCCCATATGTGTTGCTCTATTCCTATGGATAGATAGGGCAGCCCTGACATGCTAACTAAAGCCTGATAGTTCTGCAACATTTAAGCCTGCAAGCCAAGACTAAACAAGTGGAAAATATTAGCAATATTTGAGATTGGCCCAATTGGAAAGGACCAATGTTCAATAATCAGCACAGCAGAAGTTCCTCCAACCCAACCTCCAAGCCTGAGGAGTCATCATTCGCACTCTGTATTGTCACTAAGAGAAAACTCCCAATGCCACAGGCTACAACTCTCTCCCTTTAATTTTTACTCATCCTTGTGACACCCATATCACTCAAGGAACCACCAAAAATTCTTCAATAGACTATAAAGAAAGGTGAGCAGAGTTCCCCAGTGCTGTCGCCAGGCAAGCAGAGTCACAAAGGATCTGAACTGGCAGACACCCAAATACCAGGTAGTTTTCTGATTGATTTAGATAAAACAGAGGAGTAGTCAATAGACCTGGCTGCTTTTCCTCCCTGCATCTCTACCTCAATAGCCCCTGACAGCGTTTTCCATAGCTCAGTGTGCCACAGAGCATCTACTCAACCAAGTATTAGTTGTCCAAATGAGTATTCTCATTCTTAGATAAGAATACTGGGACAAAGAGAGAGAAAAAGTTGCCCAGTAACAAACCAAGTTTGTGGTCCAAATCCAGGTGTCCTAATTATCCTCTCCATCCTTTTCTGCTGTAATCAAGCTGCCTTGTTTCATCTAGGTTTGCACACTCATTTCTCTCATAGGTTCATCATTTTCACCTATGGATCCTATATATTTCCACAGCTCAAAGACATCATTTGTATCATGTCATCATTTTTTAGCCTTGGACACATTTAAAAGACGGTTTGTATGCTAGGAGGAGATGTGGTCTAAAACACCCAAGTTACTTTATTATCTTTGGTAGATGAATCACCAATTTGCCAGGCTCAAAACCCTGAAGTTTTTTCTGCCTCTTCCTTTTTTTGAGACAGGATCCCCTCTGTCACTCAAGCTGAATTACAGTGGTGCAACCATGGCTCACTGCAGCTTCAACATCCTGAACCTCTTATTATTTTGAGATATGTGCATCAATACCTAGTTTATTGAGTGTTTTTAGCATGAAGGGTGTTGAATTTTATGGAAGGTTTTTTCTGCATCTATTGAGATAATCAAGTGATTTTTGTCATTGGTTCTGTGTATATGATGGATTATGTTTATTGATTTGCATATATTAAACCAACCTTGCATCCCACGGATGAAGCTGACTTGATCTTGGGGGATACGTTTTTGATATGCTGCTAGATGTGGTTTGCCAGTATTTTATTGAGGATATTCACTTCGATGTTCATCAGGCGGTATTGGCCTGAAATTTTCTTTTTTTGTTGTGTCTCTTCCAGGTTTTAGTATCAGGATAATGCTGGCCTCATAAATTGAGTTAAGGAGGAGTCTCTCTTTTTCTATTGTTTGGAATAGTTTCAGAAAGAATGGTACCAGCTCCTCTTTGTACCTCTGGTAGAATTCGTCTGTGACTCCATCTGGTCCTGGGCGTTTTTGGTTGGTAGGCTATCAATTACTGCCTCAGTTGCAGAACTTGTAATTGGTCTATTCGGGGATTCGAATTCCTCCTGGATTAGTCTTGGGAGGTTGTATGTGTCCAGGAATTTATCCATTTCTTTGAGATTTTCTAGTTTATTTATGTAGAGGTGTTTATAATATTCTCTGATAGAAGATTTTATTTACATGGGATCAGTTTTTATTTTTATCATTTTTTATTTTGTCTATTTGATTCTTCTCTCTTTTCTTTTTTATTAGTCTGGCTAGCAGTCTACGTATTTTGTTAATCTTTTCAAAAAAAAACAAATATTCATTGAAGTTTCGAATAGTTTTTCGTGACTCTAGCACTTTCAGTTTACTTTGATCTTAGTTATATTTTGTCCTCTGCCAGCTTTTGAATGTGTTTGCTCTTGCTTCTCTAGTTCTTTTGTGATATTAAGTTGTTGATTTTAGATCTTTCCCACTTTCTCATGTGGGCATTTAGTGCCCTAAATTTCCCTCTAAACACTGCTTTAGCTATGTTGCAGAGATTCTGGTACATTATGTCTTTGTTCTCATTGGTTTCAAAGAACTTATTTATTTCTGCCTTAATTGTTGTGTGGTGTGTGTGTTGTGTGGTTTTGATGGAGTTTCTTAATCCTGAGTTCTAATTTGATTGCACTGTGGTCTGAGACACTGTCTCTTTTGATTTCCATTATTTTGCATTTGCTGGGGAGAGTTTTACTTCCAATTATGTGGTCAATTTTAGAATAAGTGCTACATGGTGCTGACAAGAAAGCATATTCTGTTGCTTTGGGATGGAGAGTGTTGTAGATGTCTATTAGGTCCACTTGGTCCAGAGCTGAGTTCAAGTCCTGAATATTGCTGTTAATTTTCTAGGCTGGGTGCAGTGGCTCATGCCTGTAAACCCAGCACTTTGGAAGGCTGAGGCTGGTGGATCATGAGGTCAGGTGTTCGAGGCCAGCCTGACCAACATGGTGAAACCTTGTCTCTACTGAAAATACAAAAATTAGCCTGGTGTGGTGGTACACACCTGTAATCCAAGCTACTCAGGAGGCTGAAGCAGGAGAATCACTTGAACCCAGGAGGCAAATGTTGCAGTGAGCTGAGATCGCACCACTGCACTCCAACATGGGTGACAGAGCAAGACTGCATCTCAAAAAAAAAAAAAATTCTGTCTCGTTGATCTGTCTAATATTAACAGTGAGGTGTTAAATTCTCCCACTATTATTGTCTGGGAGTCTTAAGTATCTTTGTAGGTTTCTAAGAACTTGCTTTATGAATCTTGGTGCTGTTGTATTGGGTGCATATATATTTAGGATAGTTAGCTCTTCTTGTTACATTGATCCCTTTACCATTATGTAATGCCCTTCTTTGTCCTTTTTGACCTTTGCTTGTTTAAAGTATGTTTTATCAGAGACTAGGATTGCAACCCCTGCTTTTTTTTCTTTCTATTTGCTTGGTAAATATTCCTCCATCCCTTTGTTTTGAGCCTATGTGTGTCTTTGCACGTGAGATGGGTCTCCTGAATACAGCACACCAATGGGTCTTGACTCTTTATCCAATTAACCAGTCTCTGTCTTTAATTGGGGCATTTAGCCCATTTACATTTAAAGTTAATATTGTTATGGGTGAATTTGATCTTGTCATCATGATGCTAGCTGATTATTTTGCACATTAGTTGATGCAGTTGTTTCATAGTGTCATTGGTCTTTATATTTTGGTGTGTTTTTTGCAGTTGCTGGTACTGGTTTTTGGTTTGTTTGTTTGTTTGTTTTTATATTTAATGTTTCCCTCAGGAGCTCTTTTAGGGCAGGCCTGGTGGAGACAAAATCCCTCAGTATTTGCTTGTCTGTAAACGATTTTATTTCTCCTTCACTTATGAAGCTTAGTTTGGCTGGATATGAAATTCTGTGTTGAAAATTCTTTTCTTTAAGAATGTTGAATATTGGCCCCCACTAACTTCTGATTTGTAGGGTTTCAGCAGAGACATTCACTATTAGTCCAATGGGCTTCCCTTTGTGGGTAACCTGAACTTTTCTCTGGCTTCCCTCAACATTTTTTCCTTCACTTCAACTTTGATGAATCTGACAATTATGTGCCTTAGGGTTGATCTTTTTGAGGAGTATATTAGTTGTGTTCTCTATTTCCTGAATTTGAATGTTGGCCTGCCTTGCTAGGTTGGGGAAGTTCTCCTGGATAATATTTTGAACTGTGTTTTCCAACTTGGTTCCATTCTCCCTGTCACTTTCAGGTACACCAGTCAATCATAGGTTTGGTCTTTTCATGTAATCTCATATTTCTTGGAGGCTTTGTTTGTTCCTTTTCATTCTTTTTTCTCTAATCTTGTCTTCATGCTTTATTTCATTAAGTTGATCTTCAATATCTGATATTCTTTCTTCTGCTTGATCAATTTGGCTATTGATACTTGTGTATGCTTCACAAAGTTCTTGTGCTCTGTTTTTGCCACATCAGGTCATTTATATTCTTTTTAAACTGCTTATTCTAGTTGCCAGTTCCTGTAACCTTTTATCAAAGTTCTTAGCTTCCTTGTATCGGGTTAGAACATGCTTCTTTAGCTCGGAGTTTTTTGTTACTCACCTTCTGAAGCCTACTTATTTCAATTCATCAAACACATTCTCCATCCAGTTTTGTTCCATTGCTGGTGAGGAGTTGTGATCCTTAGGGGGAGAAGAGGCATTCTGGTTTTTGGAATTTTCAACATTTTTGTGCTTTTTTTTTCTCATCTTCATGGATTTATCTCACTTTGATCTTTGATGCTGGTGACCTTTGGATGGAGTTTTTGTGTGGGCATACTCATTGTTGATGTTGATATTATTGCTTTCTGTTTGTTAGTTTTTCTTCCAACAGTCAGGCCTCTCTTCTGCAGGTCAGCTGGAGTTTGCTGGAGGTCCACTCCAGACCCCGTTTTCCTGGGTATCACCAGCAGATGCTGCAGAACAGCAAAGATTCCTGCCTGCTTCTTCCTCTGGAAGATTTGTCCCACAGGGGCACCCACCAGATGCCAGCTGGAGCTCTTCTGTATGAGGTGTCTGTCCACACCTGCTGGGAGGTGTCTCCCAGTCAGGAGGCATGGGAGTCAGGGACCCACCTGAGGAGACACTACATCCCTTAGCAGAGCTGAAGTGCTGTTCTGGGAGATCCACTGCTCTTTTCAGATTCAGCAGGCAGGGATGCTTGAGTCTGGAAGCTGCGCTCACAGCCATCCCTTCCCTCAGGTGCTCTGTCCCAGGGAGATGGGAGTTTTATCTACAAGTGCCTGACCGGGTTGCTGCTTTTCTTTCAGAGATGCCCTGCCCAGAGAGGAGGAATCTAGAGAGGCAGTCTGGCTACAGTGACTATGCCACCCTGCAGTGGGCTCTGCACAGTCTGAACTTCCAGGTGGCTTTGTTTACACTGTGAAAGGAAAACTGCCTACTCATGCTTCAGTAATGGCAGACGCCCCTCCCTCCACCAGTGCCCTGGTGGTGTAGCCACCCAAGGGAATCTCCTGGTCTGCTGGTTGCAAAAACTGGGAAAAGTGTAGTATCTGGGCTGGATAGCACTGTCCCTCATGGCAGAGTCCCTCATGGCTTCCCTTGGCTAGGGGTGGGAGTTCCCCAACCCCTTGCACTTCCCAGGTGAGGTGACACCCCATCCTGCTTCTGCTCACCCTCCATGGGCTGCACCCACTGTCTAACCAATCCCAGTGAGATGAACCAGGTATTTCAGTTAGAAATGCAGAAATCATCTACCTTCTGTGTTCATCTCACTGGAAGCTACAGACCAGAGCTGTTCCTATTCACCATCTTAAAGACAGAATTTTAAAAGCAGCAAGAGGAAAGTGTCAAGCGACATATAGGGAAATCCTTATTAGATTCTAAGCAAATTTCTCAGCAGAAATCCTTATAGGCCAAGAGAGAATAAAATGATAAACTCAAAGTCATGAAAGATAAACTGACAGCCAAAAATACTATACCCAGCAAAGCTGTTATTCCAAAATAAAGGAGAAATATTCTTTCCCAGACAAGCAAAAGTTGAGAGAATTCACCACCACTAGACCTTCTTTACAAGAAATGCAGCAGGAAGTTCTTAAACTGGAAACCAAAGGACGCTAATTACTAACATGAAAGCACAAAACTATAACATTCACTGATAAAGGTAAATATATAGTCAAATCTGGAATACTCCAATACTGTTAGAGTGCTCTGTACATCAGATAAATCTCTAGTATAAAGGTTAAAAGTCAAAACAGTCAAATATGATAGCTACAATAACTTCTTAAGAAATACATAATACAAGGAGGAGAGGCCAAGATGGCAGACTATAGCAGCTCATGTATGCCACTCTCACAGAGAGGAAACAAAATGGCTAAATAACACTGATCCTGCCAGCCAATCATCTGAGAAACCACATCAGAATCCATCAAGGCAGCAATAGGACAAAGAGAGCAGAGAGGAGTGAAGCTGGTCTCCAGCCTCTCTGGGCTCAGCACGGAGCCAGGAGAACCTCTCCAGCATGGGAAAGGGTGAGTGAATGAGAGTCCCCTAGAGGAGTCACACTCTTCAGAGGGACCAGTACAAGACTAGGAATGGGAGAATCCCTCTGGACCCCTGCACACTCCCCACTGCATTTCTAGACTGAGGCAGAGAGCCACCTGGATGTTTTGCAGAGGCAACTTTCAAGTGCAAGGGAATCTCTATAAGTCTTGGGCCCCAGAGCAGACCAGTACCAGCACCATAGTCCCAATAGAGGCTGCAATCACAGTACTGGGAGTAGTAAGATTGCTCCACCCACCCCTCCACCCCTGCCAGTCAGGCCTTCAGCACCAACTTCCAGCCCAGTGGTCCAGCTTCTGCCTGAATTCAGCTGGCAGTCACAGCCTCCTGTTGTCCTGAGAAGTACACAGACAACAGGAAAAGCAACTCTACCCACCTGCATCACTGGTAGTCAGGTGAGTAACACCTGCTAGAAGTTACAGCCCAGTGTTTCCACTTCCGTGTGAACTAAGCAGGAGGGCACAGCCTCCTGTTGTCCCAGAAAACACCCTGATGGCAAGATGAGTGACCCCACCCATCCTTAGCACTGCTAGCCAGGCAGCAATACCTGCTAGAGCTTCCAGTCCAACAGTCTCACTTCTGTGTGGACTCAGTCAGCAGATGCAGCCTCTTGTGATACCAGGAAGCACTTGGACAGCAAAGCAGGTGACCCCCCCCCCCATTGCCACAACTGGTAGCTAAGTGGGCAACACCTGTTAGAGCTTCCAGCCCAGCGATTGAGCTTCTTTGTGAACTCAGCGAGAGGGTTCAGCCTCATATTGTACCAGGAAACACCAAGAAGGCAGGGTGGGCAACATTATCCACCCCCACCACTGATAACAAGGCAATGATGCCTTCTAGATTTTCCATTCCAGTGGACCCACTTCTGTGTAGACTCAGTTGGTGGTCACAGTCTCCTGTTTTCCTGGGAAGCACTTAGATGTCAGGACAGGAAACCCCACCTACCCATGCCCCTGGTAGCCAGTAAGACAATATCTGCTACAGCTTCCAGCCCAGCAATCCCACTTCTGTGTAAACTCAGCCAGAGAGCTCAGCCTCCTGCTTTCCCAGGAAACACCCAGACAGCAGAGCAGGAGTCCCCACTGATCCCTGCCCCAGGTAGCCAGGCAAACAACAACTACTAGAGCTTCCAGCCCAGTGGGCCTGCTTCTGTGTGAACTCAGCCAGACGGTGGAGACTCTTGTTGTCCCAGGAAATACCTAGATGGCAGGGTGGTTGACCCCACCCACCCCTGCCACTGGTAGCCAGGTGAGCAATGCCTGCTAGAGCTTCCAGACCGGTGGTCCCATCTCCATGTGAACTCAGGCAGACAGCACGGCCTCCTGTTGTCCAGGGAAACACCTGGATGGCAGGGCAGGTGACCCCACCCACTGTCAACACTGGTAGCCAGGTGAGCAATGCCTGGTAGAGCTTCTGGCCCAGTGGTTCCAGTTCTGTGTCAACTGAGCCCGAAGCACAGCCTCCTGTTGTCCCAGGAAACTGATCCTCATCACCGCTAGCCAAGTGGGCAAAGCCTGCTAAAGCTTCTGGCTCAGTGGTCCTATTTCTGTGTAAACTCAGCCAGAAGGTGCAGCCTACTGTTGTCCCAAGAAGCACCCAAATGGTAGGGTGGGTGACCCCTATCACCCCCATCTATCATAAAAAGATAAGCCATTCCTGCTAGAGGTTCCAGGCCAGTGGTCACTCTTCTTCCTGAATTTGATGAGGAGTGCAGATTTATATTGTCATGAAAACACCCAGGAGGCAGGGCAGGTAACTCCACTCACCCCTGCCTCTGGTAGCCCAATGGGCCCAAAGCACTAGAGCATCCAACCCAAGTGTACCACTTCTGTCTAAATTCTGCAGGCAGGTGCAACCCCATGTTCTTTTGGGAAGCATGTAGACAGCAGATTAGAGCTGAATCATCAAATATATATGGCCTGTTTGCCAATTGTAACCACTGCCTGAGGGAGCTCTGTGGCCCAAAGTATCCAAAAAAAGAAAAATGGGCATGGAGACATTAATAGAAAGACACTAATAGGAAGGGTTTCCTCCAAGACCCAGTACCAAATTAAAATCAAAGCCTGTTGAACGAATCCACCTTATACCATGATCAAAATCCAAAGGATATCAAAGATTATAAAAGCAAAAAAAAATTCACCAAAAGAATACCAACTGCAATGATTAAAAAAACATCAGCCCACACAGATGAGGAAAAACCAGTGCAAGAACTGCAGCAACTCAAAAAGCTGGCCTTATCTGCAAATGACAGCACTAGTTCCCCAGCAATAGTTCTTAAGGATGGCATGGCTGAAATATCAGAGATAGAATTCACAACATGAATACGAATGAAGATCATCAAACTTCAGGAGAAAGTCAAAACAAATTCCAAAAATTCTAAGGAATTCAATAAAAAGATGGAGATAAAAGACAAAAGGACCATTATAAGAGAGAACCAAACTGATCTGAAAGAGCTGAAAATCTCATTTCAACCAAGTTGAGGAAAGAATCTCAGAGGTCAAAGACTGATTCTCCAAAATAAATCAGCCAGACAAAAATAAAGAGAAAAACAGGCCAAGCCTGGTGGTTCAAGCCTGTAATCCCAGCACTTTGGGAGGCTGAGGTGGGCAGAACACAAGGTCAGGAGTTTGAGATCATCCTGACCAACATGGTGAAATGCTGTCTCTACTGAAAATACAAAGATTAGCCAGGCATTGTAGTGTGCACCTGTAATCCCAGCTACTCAGGAGGCTGAGGCAGGTGAATTGCTTGAATCCGGGAGGTGGAGCTTGCAGAGAGCTGAGATCGTGCCACTGCACTCTAGCCTGTGTGACAGAGCAAGACTCTGTCAAAAAAAAAAAAAAGAAGAAGAGAGAAAGAAAGAAAGAAAGAAAGAAAGAAAGAGAAAAAAGTAAAAATAAATAAGAATGAAGAAAACTTCTGAGAAGTTTGGGATTATGTAAAGAGACCAAATCTACGACTCATTGACATCCCAGAAAGAGACAGAGAGAAAGCAAGCAACTTGGAAAACATATTTTGGGATATAATGTATGAAAACTTCCCCAACCTCACTAGAGGCCAACATGGAAATTCAGGAAATGCAGATAACTGCCATGAAATACTATACAAGACCAGTATTAGCATCCCCAATATTAGGGGAACCCACCCCCAATATTTCAATGTAGGTTCTTTCTATTTTCCATAAGTGTCGGCTGGCTGAGAAATAAAGAGAGACAGTACAAAGAGAAGAAATTTACAGCTGGGCTGGGCAAAAGCAGAGCCACTGATAAGGGTCTATGTTCAGCGGTGCATGTATTGTCTTGATAAACATCTTAAACAACAGAAAACAGGATTCAAGAGCAGAGAACTGGTCTGACCACAAATTTACCAGGGTGGAGTTTTTCCCCACCCTAGTAAGTCTGAGGGTTCTGCAGGAGACCAGGGCATATCTCAGTCCTTATCTCAACTGCATAAGACAGACATTCCCAGAGTGGCCGTTTATAGACCTCCCCCAAGAATGCATTCCTTTCCCAGGATATTAATATTAATATTCCTTGCTAGGAAAATAATTTAGTGATTTTTTCCTACTTGCACATACGTTTATAGGCTCTCTGAAAGAATAAAAATATGGCTTTTTTACCCAACCTCGAAGTCAGTCAGAGCTTATGGTTGTCTTCCCTTGTTCCCTAAAAATCGCTGTTATTCTGTTCTTTTTCAAGGTGCACTGATTTCATATTGTTCAAACACACGTTTTGCAATCAATTTATTTGTACAGTTAACACAATTATCACAATGGTCTTGAGGTGATGTACATCCTAAGCTTACAAAGATAACAGGATTAAGAGACTAAAGTAAAGATAGACATAAGAAATTATAAAAGTATTATTTGGGAACTCATTAATGTCCATTTAAGATGAAATCTTCACAATTTATGTTATTCTGCCATGGCTCCAGCCAGTCTCTCCAATCAGGGTCCCTGACTTCCTGCAACACTGAAGACACATAGTCCTCAGATTCTCCAACGAAGAAATAAAAGGAAAAATGTTAAATGCAGCTAGCAAGAAGGCGCAGGTTATGTACAAAGGGTGCTTCATCAGGCTAACAGCAGAACTTTTAGCAGAAATGTGAAAAGCCAGAAGAGACAGGGGTCCTATATTCAGCATTCTTGAAGAAAAAAAATTTCAACTAAGAATTTCATATCCAGCCAAGCTAAGCTTCATAAGCAAAAGAGAAATAAAATCCTTTTCAGATAAGCAAATGCTAAGATAATTTGTTACCACCAGACCCGTCTTACAAGAGGTCCTGAAGGGAGTGCTAAATATGGAAAGGAAAGGCCATTACTGGTCACTAGAAATCACACTTAGGTACATAGGTAATTGTCTATGGTATATTGACAATGTTCTATGTACCTAAATGTGTTTTTGCAGTGCACATCTTAAGCAACCATACAAACAAGTCTGCATAATAACCAGCTAACAACATGATGACAGAATCAAACCTGCACATATTAATATGAACCTTGAATGTAAATGGGCTAGATACTTTAAATTAAAAGCCACAGAGTGCAAGTTGGTTAAAGAATCAAGATCCAACTGTTTAGAAAAGACCCATCTTGTATGTAATGACATGCATAGGTTTAAATTAAAGGAACAGAGAAAAATCTACCAAGTAAACAGAAAGCAGAAAGCAGGAAAAGGCAGGTGTTGCTATTCTAATTTCAGGAAAAATAGACTTTAAACCAACAATGATCAAAAAAGACAAGGAAGGGCATTACATAATGGTAAAAATTTCAATTCAACAAGAAAACCTAACTATCCTAAATATGTATGCACCCAACACAGGAGCACCCATATTCATAAAGCAAGTTATTATAGACATACAAACAGACTTAGATAATCACACAGTAATAGTGGGGGACTTCAACTCCTCACTAACATTATTAGAAAGATAATCGAGGAGAAATCCAACAAAAATATTCGGGGCCAGAAATCAACATTAGACCAAATGGGCTTAACAGACATCTACAGAACTATACATGCAAACATAACAGAAATTACATTCTTTGCATCTGCACATGGCACAAACTCTAAAATTGACCACATAATAAGCCATAAAACAACCTTCAGCAAATTCAAAAATAGAAAAATTATATGGCACTCACACACAGAGTACAGCACAATAAAAATAGAAATTAATACTAAGAAAATCACTCAGAAGCATACAATTACATGGGAATTAAACAATCTGCTCCTGAGTGATTTTTGGATAAGAAATGAAATTAGAGCAGAAATCAAGAAATTCTTTGAAACTGACAAGAACAACGATTCAACATACCAGAATCTCTGCAACTCAACTAAAGCAGTGTGAAGAGGGAAATTTATAGCACTAAGCGCCAACATCAAAAACTTAGAAAGATCACAAATTAGAAACCTAACTTCACACTAAAAGGAACTAGAGAAGCAAGTGCAAACTAATCCCAAAGCTAGCAGAAGACAAGAAATATCCAAACTCAGAGCACAACTAAAAGAAACTGAGAGGCAAAAAAAACAAAAACAAAAACAAAAAAAATACAGAAGTTCAACAAATCCAACGCTTCATGCTAAAAACTCTGAATAAATTAGGTATTGATGGGACGTATCTCAAAATAATAAGAGCTATCTATGACAAAACCACAGCCATTATCATACTGAATGGGCAAAAACTGGAAGCATTCACTTTGAAAACAGGCACAAGAGAGGGATGCCCTCTCTCACCACTCCTATTCAACATAGTGTTGGAAGTTCTGGCCAGGGCAATCAGGCAGGAGAAGGAAATAAAGGGTATTCAATTAGGAAAAAAGGCAGTCAAATTGTCCCTGTTTGCAGATGACATGATTGTATATCTAGAAAACCCCATCGTCTCAGCCCCAAATCTCCTTAAGCTGATAGGCAACTTCAGCAAAGTTTCAGGATAAAAAATCAATATGCAAAAATCACAAGCATTCTTATACACCAATAACAGACAAACAGAGAGCCAAATCATGATTGAACTCCTATTCACAATTGCTTCAAAGGGAATAAAATACCTAGGAATCCAACTTACAAGGGATATGAAGGACCTCTTCAAGAACTACAAACCACTGCTCAATGAAATAAAAGAGGATACAAACAAATAGAAAACCATTCCATGCTCCTGGGTAGGAAGAATCAATATCGTGAAAATGGTGATACAGTCGAAGGTAATTTATAGATTCAATGCCATCCGCATCAAGCTACCAACGACTTTCTTCACAGAATAGGAAAAAACTACTTTAAAGTTCATATGGAACCAAAAAAGAGCCCGCATTGCCAAGTCAATCCTAAGCCAAAAGAACAAAGCTGGAGGCATCACGCCACCTGACTTCAAAGTATGCTACAAGGCTACAGTAACCAAAACAGCATGGTATTGATACCAAAACAGAGATATAGACCAATGGAACAGAACAGAGCCCTCAGAAATAATGCCGCATGTCTACAACCATCTGATCTTTGACAAACCTGACAAAAACAAGAAATGGGGAAAGGATACCCTATTTAATAAATGTTGCTGGGAAAACTCGCTAGCCAGATGTAGAAAGCTGAAACTGGATCCCTTCCTCACACCTTATACAAAAATTAATTCAAGATGGATTAAAGACTTAAATGTTAGACCTAAAACCATGAAAACCCTAGAAGAAAACGTAGTCAATACCATTCAGGACATAGGCATGTGCAAGGACTTCATGTCTAAAACACCAAAAGCAATGACAACAAAAGACAAAATTGACAAATGGGATCTAATTAAACTAAAGAGCATCTGCACAGCAAAAGAAACTACCAGCAGAGTGAACAGGCAACCTACAGAATGGGAGAAAATTTTTGCAATCTACTCATCTGACAAAGGGCTAATATCCAGAATCTGCAATGAACTCCAACAAATTTACAAGAAAAAAACAAAAAACCCCATCAAAAAGTGGGTGAAGGATATGAACAGACACTTCTCAAAAGAAGACATTTATGCAGCCAAAAGACACATGAAAAACTGCTCATCATCACTGGCCATCAGACAAATGCAAATCAAAACCACAATGAGATACCATCTCACACCAGTTAGAATGGCGATCATTAAAAAGTCAGGAAACAACAGGTGCTGGAGAAGATGTGGAGAAGTAGGAACACTTTTACACTGTTGGTGGGACTGTAAACTAGTTCAACCATTGTGGAAGTCAGTGTGGCGATTCCTCAGGGATCTAGAACTAGAAATACCATTTGACCCAGCCATCCCATTACTGGGTATATGCCCAAAAGATTATAAATCATGCTGCTATAAAGACACATGCACACGTATGTTTATTATGGCACTATTTACAATAGCAAAGACTTGGAACTAACCCAAATGTCCATCAATGATAGACTGGATTAAGAAAATGTGGCACATATACACCATGGAATACTATGCAGCCATAAAAAATGATGAGTTCATGTCCTTTGTAGGGACATGGATGAAGCTGGAAACCATCATTCTCAGCAAACTATCACAAGGACAAAAAGCCAGACACCACATGTTCTCACTCATAGGTGGGAATTGAACAATGAGAACACATGGACACAGGAACGGGAACATCACACACAGGGGCCTGTTGTGAGGTGGGGGGAGGGGGGAGGGATAGCATTAGGAGATATACCTAATGTTAAATGACGAGTTAATGGGTGCAGCACACTAACATGGCACATGTATATATATGTAAGAAACCTGCACATTGTGCACATGTACCCTAAAACTTAAAGTATAATGAAAAAAGGGTCAACAAATCCAAGAACTAGTATTCTGAAAGAATACATAAGATTGATAGATTGTTAGCTAGAATAATAAGGAAAAACAAAAGAAGATCCAAATAAACACAATCACAAATGACAAAGTGTTTCTGATCACACAGAAATACAAAAAAAAAACTCCTAAGAAGTAGTGTGAATAGCTTTATGCACACAAACTAGAAAACCTTAAAATGGACACATTTCTTAAAACATATAATTTTCCATAATAAAACCAAGGGGAAATTGAATCCCCAGACAGACCAATATCAAGGTCCAAAACTGAATCAATAATAAAAAGCCTACCAACCAGGAAAAGCTCAATACCAGATGGGTTCACAGCCAAATCCTACCAGACATGTAGAGAAAAACTGAAACAATTCCTACCGAAACTCTTTCATAAAATTGAGGAGGGACTCCTCCCTTACTCATTCTATGAGGCCAGCAGAATCCTGATACCAAAACCTGGCAGAGGCACAACAAAACAAGTTTAGGCCAATATTATTGATGAACATAGGTGCAGAAATACTCAATAAAATATTAGCAAAACAACTCCAGCAAAACATGAAAAAATCTAAGCCTCCAAGATCAGGAAGGCTTTATCCTTGGGGTGTAAGTTTCGTTCAACATACACAAATAAATAGATGTAACTCACCACATAAACTGAACTAAAAATATAAACATGATTATCTCAATAGATATAGAAAAGGATTTCAATGAAATTCAACATGTATTCATTTTAAAAGCCATCAACAAACTAGGCATTGAAGAAACATATCTCAAAATAATAAGAGCCATGTATGACAAACCCATAGTCAACATCATACTGAATGAGCAAAACACTGGAAGCATTCCCCTTGAGACCTGTAATAAAACAAGGATGCCCATTCTCACAACTGTTATTCAACATAGTACTGGAAGCCCTTGCCAGAGCGATCACACAAAGGAAAGAAATAAAAGGCACCCAAATAGGAAGAGAGGAAGTCAAACTATCTCTTTTTGCAGACAACATGATTCTACACCAGGTAAATCTCACAGTCTTCACTCAAAAGCTCCTAGATCTGATAACCAATTCCAGCAAAGTTCCAGGCTACAAAATGAATATACAAAACTCCATAGCATTTCTTTCAACGAACAATCTCTAAGCTGACAGCAAAATCAAAAATGCAATCCAACTAATAATCATGATAAAATGAATAAAATACCTAGAAATATAGCTAACCAGGGAGGTGAAAGATCTCTACAATGAGAATTACAAAACAGTGCTCAAAGAAATCAGAGATGACACAAACAAATGGAAAAACATTCTATATTTATGGATTGGAAGAATCAATATTGTTAAAATGGCCATACTGACCAGAGCAATCTATGGATTTGACACTGTTCCTATCAAACTACCAATGTCATTTTTAGCAATTGAAAAAACTATTTTAAAATTCATATGGAACTAAAAAAAGAGCCTGAATAGCCGAAGAAATCCTAAGCAAAAAGAACAAAGCTGAAAGTATAACATTACCTGACTTCAAACTATATTACAAGGCTAAAGTAACCAAAATAGCATAGTACCAGTGCACAAACAGACACACAGAACAATGGAACAGAATAGATATCCCAGAAATAAAGCTACACACATAAAACCAGCTGAACTTTCATAAAGTTTATATAAACAAGCAATGGGGAAAGGGCTCACTATTCAATGAATTGTACTGGGATAACTGGCTAGCCACAGGCAGAATATTAAAGCTGGTCTCCTTCATTACATCATATATAAAAATCAACTCAAATGGGTTTAAGACTTAAATGTAAAACCTACAAATATAGAAACCCTGAAAGCTAACCTAGGCAATACCATTCTAGACATAGGACCTGGCAAAGATTTTATGATGGGTTGCCAAAAGTAATTTCAACAAAACAAAAATTGATAAAAGGGATCTAACTAAACTAAAAAAAATTTCCTCACAACAAAATAAGCTATCAACAGAGTAAGTAGACAACATACGGAATGGGAGAAAATATTTGCAAACTACAAGTCTGACAAAGATCTGACATCCAGAATCTATAAGATACTTAAATGAATTAACAAGCAAAAAACAAACAATCCCACTAAAAAGTGGGCAAAGGATGTGAGCAGACACTTTTCAAAAGAAGACATACATGTGGCCAACAAGCATATGAAAAAATGCTTAACATCACTAATCATTAGGGAAGTGCAATTCAAAACCACAATTAGATGGTATCTCATACCAGTCAGAACGACTACTATTAAAAGTCAAAAAATAGCAGATGCTGGTGAGGCTGTAGAAACATAGGTAGGCTTATACAGTGCTGGTGAGAATGTAAATTAATTCAACCATTGTGGATAGCAGGATGTTGGTTTCTCAGAGACGTAAAAACAGAAGTACCATTGACCCAGCAATCCCATTATTGGGTATATATCCAAAGGAATAAAAATCTTTCTACCATAAAAATCCTTCTGCCATAAAGACACATGTTCATTGCAGCACTATTCACAATAACAAAGTCGTGGAATCAACCTAACTGCCCATTACCGGTGGTCTGGATAAAGAAAATGTGCTATATTTCTTTATCCAGCCATAAGAAAGAATAATGAGATCATGTCCTTTGCAGCAACATAGATGGAGCTAAAGGCTATTGCCCTAAGCAAACCTATGCAGAAACAGAAAACCAAATATCACATGTTCTCACTTTTAAGTGGGAGCTAAACATTGAGTACACATGGACACAAAGAAGGAAAAAACAGACACCAGGGTTTACTTGAGGCTGGAATGTGGGGGGAGGAAGTGGATTGAAAAGCTACCTATTGGGTACTATACTTAATACCTGGGTGATGAAATAATCTGCACACCAAACCTTTATGACATACAATTTAGTGATATAACAAACCTGCGTATGTAGCCCTGAGCCTAAAATAGAAATTTAAAAATTAAAATAATAAGATAAAATTTTAAAAAAGAAATATATAATACAAAAACATATAAACTCTGGCACCAAAATGACAAATTATCAGGCGGAAGGTAACATTCTAGAATTTTTGTATGCTACTGAAGTTAAGTTGTTATTGCTGCAAAATATTCTATTATAACTATAAGATATTTTATGTAAGCCTCGTGGTAACCATAAAGCAAAAACTATAGCATATACACAAAAAATTTAATGAAAGGAATCAAAACAGCACTACAGAAAATAACCAAATCACAAAGATAAACAACAGGAGAAGAAACAAAGGTTCTACAAAACAAGCAGAAAATAGTTAACAAAATGACAGTAGTAAGTCCTTACATGTCAATTACTCTGAATGTCAATGAGTTAAATTCTCCAATCAAAAGATATAGAGTGGCTGAATGGACTTAAAGAAACAAGACGCAACTAACTATATGCTGCCCACAAGAGATCTACGTTAGCCTTAAGGACATAGGCTGAAAGTGAAGGGATGGAAAAAGATATTCCATGACAATGATAATCAAATGAGGGTAGAAGTGGCTATAGTAAAATAGACTTCAATTCAAAAACTGTCAAAAAAAACATGGTCATTATTTAATGATACAGGGCTCAATTCATCAAGAAAATATAACAACTGTACATGTAGATCCACTCAACATTAGAACACCTAAGTATATAAAGCAAACATTAATGAACATAAAGAAAAAATAGATATCAATACAATAATATTGGGGGGCATTAATACCCCACTTTCAACAATGAACAGATTAACCAGACATAAAATTAATAAGGAACTGCTGAAAGTAAACTGCGCTTTAGACAAAATGGACCTAAAGGATATATACAAAACCTTCTATCCAAATGCAGCAGAATACATATTCTTCTCTAGTGTATATGTTACATTCCCCTTGAAAGACCGTATAGTATGTCACAAAACAAGTCTTAACAAATTTAAGAAGATCAAAATTGTATCACATACTGTTTCCCACCACAATGACAGAAAACTAGAAATCAGTAACAATTTTGGAAAATTCACTAATGCGTAAAAATTAAAAAAATGCTCCTGATTAACAAATGTGTCAAGAAGGAAATCAAAAGGGAAATTTTTAAAACCTTGAGAAAAATGACAATGGAAACATAACATGCCAAAACCTATAGATGCAGCAAAAGCAGTTCTAGGAGGGAAATTTATAGTGATAAGTGTCTTCATTTAAAAAGAGAAGATCTCAACTAAATAGCCAAACCTTACGTCTCATGGAAATAGAAAAACAAGAACAAACTAACAGAAAGTGGATAAATTACAACAAACAAATTAGAAATATAAAGGGTCATATGGTCCTTCTGATCTCAGCTGGGCAAATGAAAAAGGGTTATATGAAGCTGTCATAAACAATTATATGCCAAAAAATCTGATAACCTACAGAAAATGTATAAATTTCTAGAAAAAATACAACCTATCAAGGTTGAATCAGGAAGAAACAGAAAGCCTGAATAAACCACTAGCAAAGAGATTGTAATATTAATTGTAAACCTCCCCTCAAAGAGAAGCCCTGGACCAGATGGTTTTACAGCTGAAATCCACCAACAATTCAGAGAAGAATTAATACTAATATTTCTTAAACTCCTCAAAAAAGTATTGTTGGAGAGAATGCTTCCCAACACATCTTATAAGGCCAGCATAACATTGAAACCTAAGCCAGACAAAGACAACACAATGAAAGAACACTAAAGGCCAATATTTCTTATAAACGTCGATGCAGAAATCCTTAATACCATGTTAGCATACTGAATTAAACAGCACATCAAAAAGATTATACATCGTGATCAAGTGGGATTTACCCTGGTATGCACAGCTGGTTTAATACATGCAAATCAATCAATGTGTTGCATCACATCAACAGACTGAAAGACAAAAACAGCATGATCATCAATTGACATAAAAAGTGTTCAACAAAGTTTAATATTCTTTACTGACAAAGACCCTTAACAGTTTAGATATGGAAGGAAAATTCCTCAGCATAATAAAGGCCATTTATGAAAAACCCACAGCTAACATCATAATCAATGAGGAGAAACTAAAAGCCTTTCTTTCCTCTGCTACCTGATGCAAAACAAGGATGGCCACTTTTGCCACTTCTATTCAGCATACTAGTGGGAGTGCTATCAAGAGCAAATAGACAAAAATAAGACCTAAAAAAACAAATCAGAAAGAAAGAAGGAAAATTATCTCCATTTGAAGATGACATGATCATATATGTAGAAACCCCCAAAGACGCCACCAAAAAACTATTAGATCTAATAAACAAATTCAGCAAAGTTGCAGGATATAAAATCAACATACAAAAATCTGTGGCATTTGTATACACATAAGGAATTAACTGAAAAGAAAACCAAGAAACCAATCCCATTTACAATAACATCAAAGAAAATAGAATACTTACAAGTAAATTTATCCAAGGAGGTAAAAAACCTGTACACTGAAAACTACAAAACATTAATAAAATAGGGGGAGGAGCCAAGATGGCCAAATAGGAACAGCTCCGGTCTACAGCTCCCAGCGTGAGCAACGCAGAAGACCGGTGATTTCTGCATTTCCATCTGAAGTACCGGGTTCATCTCACTAGGGAGTGCCAGACAGTGGGCGCAGGTCAGTGAATGCGCGCACCGTGCGCCAGCCGAAGCAGGGCGAGGCATTCCCTCTCTCGGGAAGCCCAAGGGGTCAGGGAGTTCCCTTTCCTAGTCAAAGAAAGTGGTGACAGATGGCACCTGGAAAATCGGGTCACTCCCACCCGAATACTGCGCTTTTCCGACCGGCTTAAAACACGGCGCACCACGAGATTATATCTGGCACCTGGCTCAGAGGGTCCTACGCCCTCGCAGTCTCGCTAATTACTAGCACAGCAGTCTGAGATCAAACTGCAAGGCGGCAGCCAGGCTGGGGGAGGGGCGCCCGCCAATGCCCAGGCTTGCTTAGGTAAACAAAGCAGCCGGGAAGCTCCAACTGGGTGGAGCCCACCACAGCTCAAGGAGGCCTGCCTGCCTCGGTAGGCTCCACCTCTGGGGGCAGGGTACAGACAAACAAAAAGACAGCAGTAACCTCTGCAGACTTAAATGTCCCTGTCTGACAGCTTTGAAGAAAGCAGTGGTTCTTCCAGCACGCAGCTGGAAATCTGAGAATGAGCAGACTGCCTCCTCAAGTGGGTCCCTGACCCCTGACCCCCGAGCAGCCTAACTGGGAGGCACCCCACAGCAAGGGCAGACTGACACCTCACACGGCACAGTACTCCAACAGACCTGCAGCTAAGGGTCCTGTGTGTTAGAAGGAAAACTAACAAACAGAAAGGACATCCACACCAAAAACCTATCTGTACATCACCATCATCAAAGACCAAAAGTAGATAAAACCACAAAGATGGGGAAAAAACAGAGCAGGAAAAACTGGAAACTCTAAAAAGCAGAGCCCCTCTCCTCCTCCAAAGGAACGCAGCTCCTCACTAGCAACAGAACAAAGGTGGACCGAGAATGACCTTGACGAGCTGAGAGAAGAAGGCTTCAGACGATCAAATTACTCCGAGCTATGGGAGGACATTCAAAACAAAGGCAAAGAAGTTGAAAATTCTGAAAAAAGTTTAGAAGAATGTATAACTAGAATAACCAAAACAGAGGAGTGCTTAAAGGAGCTGATGGAGCTGAAAACCAAGGCTCGAGAACTACATGAAGAATGCAGATGCCTCAGGAGCCGATGTGATCAACTGGAAGAAACGGTTTCAGCGATGGAAGATGAAATGAATTAAATGAAGTGAGAAGGGAAGTTTAGAGAAAAAAGAATAAAAAGAAATGATCAAAGCCTCCAAGAAATATCGGACTATGTGAAAAGACCAAATCTACCTCTGATTGGTGTATCTGAAAGTGACGGGGAGAATGGAACCAAGTTGGAAAACACTCTGCAGGATATTATCCAGGAGAACTTCCCCAATCTAGCAAGGCAGGCCAACATTCAGATTCAGGAAATACAGAGAACGCCACAAAGATACTCCTCGAGAAGAGCAACTCCAAGACACATAATTGTCAGATTCACCAAAGTTGAAATGAAGGAAAAAATGTTAAGGGCAGCCAGAGAGTAAGGTCGGGTTACCCTCAAAGGGAAGCCCATCAGACTAACAGCAGATCTCTCTGCAGAAACTCTACAAGCCAGAAGAGAGTGGGGGCCTGTATTCAACATTCTTAAAGAAAAGAATTTTCAACCCAGAATTTCATATCCAACCAAACTAAGCTTCATAAGTGAAGGAGAAATAAAATCCTTTACAGAAAAGCAAATGCTGATTTTGTCACCACCAGGCCTGACTGACAAGAGCTCCTGAAGGAAGCCCTAAACAAGGAAAGGAACAACCGGTACCAGCCACTGCAAAATCATGCCAAAATGGAAAGACCATTGAGACTAGGAAGAAACTGCATCAACTAATGAGCAAACTAACAAGCTAACATCACAATGACAGGATCAAATTCATACATAACAATATTAAATTTAAATGTAAATGGACTAAATGCTCCAATTAAAAGACACAGACTGGCAAATTGGATAAAGAGTCAAGACCCATAAGTGTGCTGTATTCAGGAAACCCATCTCACGTGCAGAGACACACATAGGCTCAAAATAAAAGGATGGAGGAAGATCTACCAAGCAAATGGAAAACAAAAAAAGGCAGGGGTTGCAATCCTAGTCTCTGATAAAACAGACTTTAAACCAACAAAGATCAAAAGAGACAAAGAAAGCCATTACTTAACGGTAAAGGGACCAATTCAACAAGAAGAGCTAACTATCCTAAATATATATGCACCCAATACAGGAGCACCCAGATTCATAAAGCAAGTCCTGAGTGACCTACAAAGAGACTTAGACTCCCACACATTAATAATGGGAGACTTTAACACCCCACTGTCAACATTAGACAGATCAATGAGACAGAAAGTCAACAAGGATACCCAGGAATTGAAATCAGCTCTGCACCAAGAGGACCTAAAAGACATCTACAGAACTCTCCACCCCAAATCAACAGAATATACATTTTTTTCAGCACCACACCACACCTATTCCAAAACTGACCACATACTTGGAAGTAAAGCTCTCTTCACCAAATGTAAAACAACAGAAATTATAACAAACTATCTCTCAGACCACAGTGCAATCAAACTAGAACTCAGGATTAAGAATCTCACTCAAAACCGCTCAACTACATGGAAACTGAACAACCTGCTCCTGAATGACTACTGGGTACATAACAAAATGAAGGCAGAAATAAAGATGTTCTTTGAAACCAACGAGAACAAAGACACAACATACCAGAATCTCTGGGACACATTCAAAGCAGTGTGTAGAGGGAAATTTATAGCACTAAATGCCCACAAGAGAAAGCAGGAAAGATCCAAAATTGACAACCTAGCAACACAATTAAAAGAACTAGAAAAGCAAGAGCAAACACATTCAAAAGCTAGCAGAAGGCAAGAAATAACTAAAATCAGAGCAGAACTGAAGGAAATAGAGACACAAAAAAACCCTTCAAAAAATTAACGAATCCAGGAGCTGGTTTTTTGAAAGGATCAACAAAATTGATAGACCGCTAGCAAGACAAATAAAGAAAAAAAGAGAGAAGAATCAAATAGACGCAATAAAAAATGATAAAGGGGATATCACCACCAATCCTACAGAAATACAAACTACCATCAGAGAATACTACAAACACCTCTATGCAAATAAACTAGAAAATCTAGAAGAAATGGATAAATTCCTGGACAAATACACTCTCCCAAGACTAAACCAGGAAGAAGTTGAATCTCTGAATAAACCAATAACAGGATCTGAAATTATGGCAATAATCAATAGCTTACCAACCAAAAAGAGTCCAGGACCAGATGGATTCACAGCTGAATTCTACCAGAGGTACAAGGAGGAACTGGTACCATTCCTTCTGAAACTATTCCAGTCAATAGAAAAGGAGGGAATCCTCCCTAACTCATTTTATGAGGCCAGCATCATCCTGATACCAAAGCCAGGCAGAGACACAACCAAAAAAGAGAATGTTAGACCAATATCCTTGATGAACATTGATGCAAAAATCCTCAATAAAATACTGGCAAACTGAATTCAGCAGCACATCAAAAAGCTTATCCAACATGATCAAGTGGGCTTCATCCCTGGGATGCAAGGCTGGTTCAATATACACAAATCAATAAATGTAATCCAGCATATAAACAGAGCCAAAGACAAAAACCACGTGATTATCTCAATAGATGCAGAAAAGGCCTTTGACAAAATTCAACACGCTTCATGTTAAAAACTCTCAATAAATTAGGAATTGATGGGATGTATCTCAAAATAATAAGAGCTAGCTATGGCAAATGCACAGCCAATATCATACTGAATGGGCAGAAACTGGAAGCATTCCCTTTGAAAACTGGCACAAGACAGGGATGCCCTCTCTCACCACTCCTATTCAACATAGTGTTGGAAGTTCTGGCCAGGGCAATTAGGCAGGAGAAGGAAATAAAAGTTATTCAATTAGGAAAAGAGGAAGTCAAATTGTCCCTGTTTGCAGATGACATGATTGTATATCTAGAAAACTCCATTGTCTCAACCCAAAATCTCCTTAAGCTGATAAGCAACTTCAGCAAAGTCTCAGGATACAAAATCAATGTACAAAAATCACAAGCATTCTTATACACGAACAACAGACAAACAGAGAGCCAAATCATGAGGGAACTCCCATTCACAATTGCTTCAAAGAGAATAAAATACCTTGGAATCCAACTTACAAGGATGTGAAGGACCTCTTCAAGGAGAACTACAAACCACTGCTCAAGGAAATAAAAGAGGATACAAACAAATGGAAGAATATTCCATGCTCATGGGTAGGAAGAATCAATATTGTGAAAATGGCCATACTGCCCAAGGGAATTTATAGATTCAATGCCATCCCCATCAAGCTACCAATGACTTTCTACAGAATTGGAAAAAACTACTTTAAAGTTCATATGGAACCATAAAAGAGCCCACATCACCAAGTCAATCCTAAGCCAAAAGAAACAAGCTGGAGGCATCACACTACCCGACTTCAAACTATACTACAAGGCTACAGTAACCAAAACAGCATGGTACTGGTACCAAAACAGAGATATAGATCAATGGAACAGAACAGAGCCCTCAGAAATAACGCTGCATATCTACAACTACCTGATCTTTGACAAACCTGAGAAAAGCAAGCAAAGGGGAAGGGATTCCCTATTTAATAAATGATGCTGGGAAAACTGGCTAGCCATAGGTACAAAGCTGAAACTGGATCCCTTCCTTACACCTTATACAAAAATCAATTCAAGTTGGATTAAAGACTTAAACGTTAGACCTGAAATCATAAAAACCCTAGAAGAAAACCTAGGCATTACCATTCAGGACATAGGCATGGGCAAGGACTTCATGTCTAAAACACCAAAAGCAATGGCAACAAAAGCCAAAATTGACACATGGGATCTAATTAAACTAAAGAGCTTCTGCACAGCAAAAGAAACTACCATCAGAGTGAACAGGCAACCTACAAAATGGGAGAAAATTTTCGCAACCTACTCATCTGACAAAGGGCTAATATTCAGAATCTACAATGAACTCAAACAAATTTACAAGAAAAAAAACAAACAACCCCGTCAAAAAGTGGGTGAAGGACACGAACAGACACTTCTCAAAAGGAGACATTTATGCAGCCAGAAAACACATGAAAAGATGCTCATCATCACTGGCCATCAGAGAAATGCAAATCAAAACCACAATGAGATACTGTCTCACACCAATTAGAATGGCAATCATTAAAAAGTCAGGAAACAACAGGTGCTGGAGAGGATGTGGAGAAATAGGAACAGTTTTACACTGTTGGTGGGCCTGTAAACTAGTTCAACCATTGTGGAAGTCAGTGTGGCCATTCCTCAGGGATCTAGAACTAGAAATACCGTTTGACCCAGCCATCCCATTACTGGGTATATACCCAAAGGACTATAAATCATGCTGCTATAAAGACACATGCACACTTATGTTTATTGTGGCATTATTCACAATAGCAAAGACTTGGAACCAACCCAAATGTCCAACAATGATAGACTGGATTAAGAAAATGTGGCACATATACACCATGGAATACTATGCAGCCATAAGAAATGATGAGTTCATGTCCTTTGAAGGGACATGGATGAAACTGGAAATCATCATTCTCAGTAAACTATCACAAGAACAAAAAACCAAACACTGCATATTCTCACTCATAGGTGGGAATTGAAAAATGAGAACACATGGACACAGAAGGGGAACATCACACTCTGGGGACTGTTGTGGGGTGGGGGGAGGGGGAGGGATAGCATTGGGAGAGATACCTAATGCTAGATGACGGCTTAGTGGGTGCAGCACACCAGCATGGCACATGTATACATATGTAACTAACCTGCACATAGTGCACGTGTACCCTAAAACTTAAAGTATAATAATAATAAATAAAATAAAGAAAAACAAACATTAATAAAATAAATTGAAGAGGATGCAATTAGATGTAATTATATTCCATACTCAATGATCAAAAGAAGAAATATTGTTAAAATGTTTATACTACCTAAAGCAATATAAAAATTCAATGCAATCTGTATCAACATTCCAATGGCATTCCTCACAGAAATAGGAAAAGCAATCCTAAAATTCAAATGGAGCCACAACACAAAAGACTTCAAATAGCCAAAATAATTTTAAGAAGAAAAAACGAAGTTGGAGGCATCACACTTCCTGATTTCAAGTTATATTACAAAATTGTAATAATCAAAACAATGTGGTACTTGTATAAAAACAGACACATAGATCAGTGGAATAAAATAGAGAGACCAGAAATAAATTTTAAAAAATCATCAACTAATTTCAACAAGGGCACCCAAAAGACACAATGAGAAAAGGATAGTCTCTACAATAAATGGTGCTGAGAAAACTGGATTTCCATACACAAAAAAAATGAAATTAAACCTTTATCACTCACCATATACAAAAGTTAATTCAAAATGGATAAGAGACCTAAATGTGAGACCTGAAACCATAAAATTCTTAGAAGAAAACATAGGAGAAAATCTCCTTGACATTGGTCTTGGCAACAATTTCTTGGATATCACACCAAAATCTGAAGCTACAAAACAAAAATAAATAAATAGGTCTATATCAAACTAACCTTCTGCATAGCATCAAAAACAGCCAAAAAAATGAAAGGGCAACCTATATATTTGAAGAGAAATATTTGTAAACCATAAGTAAAATGAGGTTAATAGTCATGATTTATAAAGAACACATGCAACTCAATAGACAATATATAACCAAATTTTAAAATGGGCAAAGAACTTAAATAGACATTTTTCCAAAGACGACATAGAAATGGTCAACAGGTACATGAAAAGATGCTCACTATTATTCATTATCAAGGAAATGCAAATCAAATCCACACACCCATAAGGATAGCTATTTTCAAAAAGACAAGCAATAACAAGTGTTGGTGAGGATATGGAGAAACGGGAACTCTTGTATACCACTGGTGGGAATGTAAATTGGTGCAGCTATTAAGGAAAATAGTATGGAGGTTCCTAAATAAATAAAATTAGAACTGCCATATGACCCAGCAATCCTTATTCTGGGTACATACCAAAAGGAAGTGAAATCACAACTTCATAAAGATGTCTGCGCTTTCATGTTCATTGCAGCATTATTCACAATAGCCAAGATATAAAAACAACCTAGGTATCCATCAGCGGACAAATGAATAAAGAAACTGTGGTATACAGTTATGCATTGCATAATGGACTTTTGATCAACAATGAACTGTATATACAATGGTGGTCCCATAAGACTTTAATACCTTACTTTTACTGTACTTTTCTATGTTTAGATACACAAACACTATTGTGTAACAATTGCCTACAGTACTCAGTACACTTCCAGGCTGTACATGTGTATGGCCTAGGAACAATAAGTTATACAATATAGCTTAAGTGTATAGTAGATTACACCATCTAGGTTTGTGAAAGTACACTCTATGTTGTCCCCACAATGATGAAATCACCTAACAACACATTTATCAGAATGTATTCCCATCATTAAGTAATACATGGCTGTACATATACAATGGAGTATCATTCAGCCTTAATAAAGGAGAAGATCCTGCCATTTCCCACAACATGGATGGACCTGGAGGACATTATGCTAAGTAAAATAAGCCAGACACAGAAAGAAGAATATTGCATAATCTCATTTATATGTGTGATTAAAAAAATAGGTCAAGTATATAGAGATATAGAATAAAACAGTGGTTACCAGGGTGAGAAAGAAGTAGGAAATAGGGAGATGTAGATCAAAGGATACAAAGTAGCAAATATGTAGGATGAATAATTTGAAAGATCTAATGTACAACATGAGGACTATAATTAATAATAGTGTATTTTATTCAGTACTTTAGCTAAATGAATAGATTATAGCTGTTCTTACCAGGGGTAGAGGGGGAAATGAGTAACTACGTTAGATGATGGATAGGTTAATTTGTTCCACTATAGTAACCATATATCTTATTACATCTTGTTGTATATCTTAAATAAAAACAACAAATTTATTTTTTAAAAAAAGAGGAAGTAAAGAAAGGCAATGCAAAAGTTGTAAACATCACTGGCACTGGCCAGAACATAGTCAAATGGTAACACCTAGCTGCAACAGAGGCTTGGAAACACAGTCCTGAGCTGGGCTGCCTTGCATTCAGTTAAAATTTTCATTACTACAGAATAGATGAACTAATATTGAGCAGGTAGCAGACTATACCTCACACAGCAAAGAAAGTAAAAAACTCATGCTTGGTTTACAAGCAGTCTACAGCCTGACTCTTCCACTACTTGTCTTCTAACACACATATAGCTGTGAGAAACAGCCCAGCCTCTCTTCCCAGCAAATTATTATAAGCCCAATAAAATTAAGTCCTTCTATTTGTGTAGTCTTTTTTAGAGTTGAGAAACCTATAAATCCCAGTTTTGTGTTACCTTAACCAAGCGACACGGTATCTTTGAGCCTGTTTCTTCACCCATCAAATGAAGTTCTAAGTTTCAAATACAATAAGAGATATAAAAATTATCTGTAAACTGTATTTCCTTATACAACCGAGAGTCATTATTATAATAAGAGAAAATCTCAGTCGGATCCTTATAGCCAAGCTCTGAGAAAGGCAGCCCCAGCCTTTCCTCTGCAGCTGCCCCCTAAGATAGGGTTCAAACATGGAATTTCCATTATACTAGCCTTTTTTTCTGTACTGGCCTCTATTACAAATTTCTATTTCAGCTGCCAGGAGAAGAGGACTAAGATAAGGCAGTGCATAGAAATTTGTTCCATTCTGTAAATCTATGAACTGCTGAAAAGCTATTGCCTTAATGAGTCATTGATAACATCATTATTTAAGTGTTAATCTTTTGTTGGGTATCCTATAATGCAGAGAATAGGGAACAGATCTTGTTCTCAAGTAACCATAGTCTGGGTTAGTTCAATACAGCAGGTATGTTTTAGAATCACCCAAGGTTAGATTCAAATCCCAGCTTCTGAGCTTTACCACTTAAATCCCAGCTTTACCACTTAAATCCCAGCTTTACCACTTAATGGTTGTGTGGTCTTTGGCAAATGACTTAGCCTCTCTGATCTTCAGTTTCCTAATCCATAAAATAAGGATAATCATAGTTTCCACTGGCATAGGGTAGGTACTAAAGATTTAACTGGTGAATGAATGCATTGTATGTGGATAGTTTAGGGGTGTGCCTGGCACACAACAGATGCCAGGCCTCTTCCTCCAAGATTAAGGCCCTATTACTAGTAAACGTGCCCTAAATATTCACTGAGAATGATAACCAGAAGGCGAAATGACTATCTTTTTATTCCAATATGTTGCTTCCAAGTAGAAAAAACACTAGGGTGCAGGGTGGGTGACATGGTATTCATCATTCATTTATTCTCACATTTCTTCATGCACTCATTCATCCAATTAATCAAGAAATACCTATAAGCATCCATTTTGCACCACACCCTATGCTAGCTGCTGAGGAATTGTTGACAGTTAAAATTGACATGGCTCTTGATCTCATGGTACTCACAATCTACTGGAAAATACATATCAATGGATGATTATAATATGGCATAATAACAGCTATATTAATAAGAAGTTCTGGGTATCATGGAAGTTCAGAGAAGGAACACTTAACTCAGCTTGGGTAGAAAGAAATTTCAGTGAAAATTTCCCTGAGAAGGCAATGCTGGAGATAGGTCTTGAAGGACAAGTAAAAGGTTGCCAAGTGAAGAGGAGTGGGGAATAGAGCATGGTATGCAGAGGGAACAGGAAGTGCACAGATTGGAGTCAGAAGAAAGCCAAGAATCTTCAAAAACCTTAAAAATGTCAAAGTTATTGAACAGAAGAATGCAAAGGAGGGATGGAAAGAGATAGGGGTGGAGAGCTAAGTTAGTAATACCATGTGGAGATGTATAGGCTGGGTTCAAGAGATTGTTCTTTATCCTAAGAGCAACTGGAAATGTAATAAATAGGAGAGTGTCATGACCAGCTTTACATATTAGAAAGACTATTCTGACTGCTGCATGGAAAATAGATTGAAGGGTGGATTGAAGGGCTTGGGACACAGTGACAATGATGATGGAGAAAAGTAGACTGATTAAGACAAGGTAGGTACACAGTCAGAATAGCTATTATTAAAAAGCCAAAAAACAACAGATGTTGACAAAGATGCAGAGAAAAGGGAACATTTACACACTGTTGGGGGAAATGTAAATTAGCACAACCTCTATGGAAAACTATATGGGGATTTCTCAAAGAACTAAAAATAGAACTACCATTTCGTCCAGCAATCCCACTACTGGGTATCTACCAAAAGGAAAACAAATTATTATATCAAAAAGGTATCTGCACTCACATGTTTATCACAGCACTATTCACAATAGCAAAGATATGAAATCAAACTAAGTGTCCATCAATGGAGGATTAGATAAAGAAAATGTAGTATATGTATACCATGAAATACTACTCAGTCATAAAAAAGAATAAAATAATGGTTTTTGCAGAAACACAGATGGAACTAGTGGCCATTATTTTAAGTGAACAACTTAGAAACAGAAAGTCAGATACCACATTTTTTCACTTATAATCAGGGGCTATATAGGTTGGTGCAAATGTAAGTGCAGTTTTTGCCATTAATAGATAATGTGCACACATGGACATAGAGTGTGGAATAGTAGACATTGGAGACTTGGAAGGGTGAGAGGTGTTGAGGGATAAGAAATTACTAACGGTATAATGTACACTATTCATGTGATGGTTACACTAAAAGCCTAGAGGTCACCACTAACAGTATATCCCTATATCAAAACTGTATTATACTCCCTAAATTTATACAAAAAAAAAAAACAGAACAACAGAGGAAAGGGAATCATCCAGACTTGACAGTAGACTGGAAATAGCGGGAAAGGAGGAAAGCATGCTGTCCAAATTTGTTCAATTATCAGCCTGATGTTATCATTTAATAACTAGGGGCTCTTCTCCATCACTTTATCTTGCTAAGCATCAGTATCTTTATGTGTCAAATAAATATGATAAATCTGGTCCTATTTCTCTTCACAATATTGGACAACTCAAGTGAAAGAAGGGCTATGAATGCTCTTTCCAACATACAAAGTGCTATGAACCAGGCCAGAAGATAACCCATGGGCTTACCGTCACTGCAAAAGTAAGCATGTGCTCAACAGAAAACATGAAACCTAGTCCAATCAGACTCTCCCAGGTTTTCTTTTCTTTCTTTTTTTTTTAAAACAAAGATTCATAAAAGAGTTCTTGTAAAGAATAAGCACCTTACTCTACTCCTGGGAGGATATGAGCTCTCAGATCTCACAGAAAAGCTGTACTTTCTTAAGCCATCTGCTACAGTTTGAATATTTGACCAACCAAAGCTCATGTTAAAATTTGATTCCCAATTTTGGAAGTGGTGCCTAATGGGAGATGTTTGGGTCATGGGGGAAGATCTCTCATGAATGGCTTGGTGCTGTCCTCGCAGTAATGAGTAACTTTCTGTTCTATTCATTCCCATGAAAATTGGTTGTTAAAAAGAGCCTGGAATGTCTCATCTCTCTTTCTCTTGCTTGTTTTTCACTATGTGATCCCTGAACATGCTGGCTCCCCTTATCCTTCTGCCATGATTGGAAGCAGCCTGAAGCTCTCACCAGAAGCAGATGATGGTACCATGTTTTTTGTACAACCTGCAGAACCATGAGCCAAATAAACCTGTTTTTTAATAAATTGCACAGCTTCAGGTATTTCTTTACAGCAACACAGACTAAGAGAGAAAATTGGTACCAAGAGTGGGTTATTACTATAAAGGTACCTGAAAATGGGCAAATAGCTTTGGAACTGGGTAATGGGCACAGGTTGAAAGAGTTTGGAGGACTCAGAATAAGACAGGAAGACCAGGAACTTCTTTTAGATTGGTTATGTAGTCGTGACCAAAATGCTAATGGAAATACAGATAGTAAAGGCCATGCTGACAAAGTCTCAGATGGAAATGAGGAACTTATTTGGAACTAGAGCAAAGGTTATCCATGCTACACCTTAGCAAAGAACTTGGCTGCATTGTGTCCGTGCCCTAGGGCTTTGCGGAAGGACAAACAAGAGTAATGACCTAGGAGATCTGTCAAAAGATATTTCTAAGCATCCAAGTGTTCCAGAAATGGTGTGGTTGCTTTTAGCAGCTTACAGTCACATATAGAAGCAAGAGGATAATCTAAAATTGGAATTTATAATTAAAACGGAAGCAGAATCTCAAAAATTAAAAAAATTGCAGGCTGGCCATTTGGTAGAGATGGAAAGAGCATTTTCTTTCTTTCTTTTCCTTTTTCTTTCTTTTTTCTTTTGAGATGGAGTTTCATTCTTTCACGTAGGCTGCAGTTAAGTGGTGCAATCTCAGCTCACTGCAACCTCTGCCTTCAGGGTTCAAGTGATTCTCCTGTCTCAGCTTCCCAAGTAGCTGGGATTACAGGCACCCACCACCACACCAGTCTAATTTTTTGTATTTGTATTTTTAGTAGAGATTGGGTTTTACCATGTTGGCCAGACTGGTCTCAAACTCCTGACCTGAAATGATCCACCTGTCTCAGCCTCCCAAAGTGTTAAGATTACAGGCATGAGCACTATGTCTGGCCAGAAAGAAGAGCATTTTCAAGAGACAAATCCAAAGGTGCTGCTGAGTAACCACTTACTATATGATAGATAAAAGGGAGCCAGATGCTGATAGTTAAGACAATAGGGGAAAGGTCCAAAAGGCATTTCAGAGATCTTCAAAGCCACTGCTCCCATCACAGACCCAGAGACCATAGAGGACAGAATGGCTTCAGGAGAACAGCCTGGGACACTACTGACCTGTACCACCTTGGGACACTCCTCCCCAAATCCCAATCACTGGGTCTTTAATTACGGCTTAAATGTTCTCAGGTACTGCTTGGGCCACTGCTCCAGAGGGCACATAGAGTAAGTCTTGGTGCCATCCACATGGTGCTAAGTCTTTAAGTGCTCAGAATGCAAGAGTGGTGGGAGCTTGGCAGCACTCTCCACCTTCATGGCACCCTAGCTTTCACCTCTAATTCCAATATCTAGTTTCTCATTATCACAGGACTTTGTTTCCAGCTGGCTGTAATCATTTCCCTAATAAGATTTTAGGGTATCCTCACTTTCATTCCAGGTTATGTTACCACTTTTACAACCATGTTTCCCCTTGCCTTCTGACCATTTAAATCTCTGGAGAGTTTCCCATACCCTGCTGTCTTAGTTGACTTTTCATTGCTGTAAAGGAATACTTGAGACTGGGTAATTTATTTTTAAAAAGAGTTTTATGTGTCTCACACTTCAGCAGGCTGTACAAGAAGAATGGCACCAGCATCTGCTTCTGGTGAGGGCCTCAGGAATCCTCCACTTATATTGAGGGAGGGACCCTGGACTGGAAATAAAGAGAAATGTGGTCTCCTGGCTTTGTCCTTTCATACCTCAACCTGGGCCATGTCTGAAACCTGAAGGAAAAGCAGAGAGAAGCCAGCATGTTACATGGTGAGAGGAAGGAAGAGAAAGAGGAGGGAGGTGCCAGGCTCTTTTTAACAATCAGTTCTTGCAGGAACTAACAAAGAACTCATTTATTAGTGCAAGGATGGCACAAAGCCCTTCATAAAGGATCTATCCCTATGACTCAAATACTTCCCACTAGGCCCCACCTCCAACATTGGGGATCAAATTTCAACATGAGATTTGGAGGGGAAAAATATCTAAACTATATCACCTGATATTCTGCCAACACCATGGGACAGTGTGAAAGGAAAGAAGTACAACTAGTTTAGTTCCCTGGGTCAGGAAGAGAGGTAAGAATACATTCCTGATATTCCTTCATTTCCTCTAGCACATTCATCAATGTCCCTCACACTCTGTTCTTACTCCATATATGTGAACGGCAGGTATTAGTAGTTCCACTTTAAAGGGAAGAAGCTGAAATACAGAGAGGTGATGGCTGACTTGCCTAAAGCCAAAATGCAAGTTGATGGCAGATCCAGGACCTAAACCCACTTCTCCTGCAACCTAGCCAGCTAGAGTCTCTGTCCAAGGAAATCTGCTTCTTCATCAGAAGATGACTTCTTCCTATTGGAAGCCAATCAATTAAAGAAATACAACCAGCTGCAAGCAGGGATCCACCCAGCAGGGTCCTGTTCCATGAGCCCCTCTTCCCTACCTCCGACCCCAACCACAGAGATCCAATTCAAGGCCAGAAAAATGTAAGCACCACCCAGGCTTGGAGAGGGTGGCAGTACAGAATCTGGTCCTCTCCTCCTTTTTCCCTCCAAATCCCTGGAGCTTGAGCCTTGGAAGAACCATGCACTGCAGGGAGGGGGCCGCCCCATGACAGCTGCAAGCAGGTTATTCCAGAGAATGTTGAGATGGCAGGAATATTTTCCAGTTGAAATCAACTCAATTCCCTTTGCATTTGAGTCTTGGGAACATTCATGATGAAAATCTAGACAGCATGACATTGTATGAACTCTGAAAGGCAGGCTGATGCTACTCTGGTTGGTGTTGCCTTTGGCTCACACTGAAGACACAGTCAGAGTCCTAGAAAAGATCAGCCAAAGCAGCTTAAGCCAAAGACCCTGTGCCATCCATATTTTAAAAGCTATCTGTGTGTAGTGCTGACCTGGTCTCTGAGTTAATGACTGACTTTTTATACTGCCCAAGGAAGATCTGGGATTGTGAGCCTCACCACTTAGAGTAGCCCAGGGAAGGGGGGCCCCTTGGTTGCACCCTTGCTCCAGAGACCCAACACAAAGGGGAAAATTGTAAAAAGGAAACTGCAGACTAAGGTGACACATTCTCACCTAGAGTATCACTGGCATCAGACAGGGGGAGGGCACAAGGATGTGGGCAGGCAGGGCCAAGGGTTTTTTCACCAAGGTCAAGGGAGGCAATATGATATTGAGGCAAAGGACCTGGACTGGAAATAAAGAGAAATCTTGCCTCCTGACTTTTTCCTTCCATGCCCTGTCAGAAATCTGAGACAACTTTTGGTATGCTCATAAAAATGACCACCACAACCCCAACAACACAAAAGGGTGCATGGAATATTGCCTGGAAGGCAGAAGAAGTGAGCTGTGCCACTCACTGGGCTGCATGACAGTTTACTTAGCTGACCCTGGTATTCAGTTTCATTCCATTAAATTATGAGTATAAGTCTTGCCCACCTCACAATACTGTTGTGAAAACCAAATGAGATTATAAGTGAGCCTTAGAAGCTGTGAACTGTAAGGCCCTTTGTTGTAGCTAGGGTTTCTTGGAGCAGACTAGGTGATGAAACTGGCATGATGACATGTACAAGCAGTCTCCCAGGGCCTGGGGCTTTGTGAGAGAAGTAAAGGGCGGAGCTCTGTACTCCCTAAACTTTGGCCACTGGACTCATATCCCATAGAAACTTAAGTGCAAAATGAAACCAGAGAGCAGCACTGCGCTTTAGCAAGGGCTCGTCTGAGTGTAGTCCAGGGAGGAGAAATCCACAGCATTATATTCCAGGGCAGGAAGGCTCCAGCTCCCACATATCCCCATCACTAATGGCTGAAATCCCAGAAGAAAAGCTGGATTTTTCAGCTAAATCATTTCTTCCGTTAAAAATATAAATGCACACATGGCATGGAAAAGGGGAGCAGGTCTGTGTCATTTCCACCCACATCTGGGGCTACTTATTAGTTGCTTTACTCTCTCCAAGTACTTTCCCACTCCAGTCTGTCAGGTACTGCTGCCTACCTCCATTAGAATAATCTTCCTAAATTGTAGATGGTGCCACACCTCAGCTGCAGAATCTTCAACAGCATCTCATTACCTACAGGAAATAATTCAAAAGCTTCAGCTTGGCATTCCAAGTTCTCTATAGTCATGCCTTAGTCTCCTTCCAGCTGTACCTTTGTATTTTCACCAAACTGCTTCATTCCAGAAGCCTCAGAGCAAATACAGATTACAAGGGAAACATACTAGACCAGAAGTCAGAAGAACTGGGTTTCAGTCCCAGCTCATTCATTGACTTTCTCTATGACTTTATATAAGTAATTCATTCAACTATAATTTGGGGAGTATTTACATTACTTAGGAAGTGTGTCAAAATCAATTTGTTACTAAATTAAAGTATAAATGTTTTTTGAGTGACTTCTAGATTCTCCATATAATGTCAACCATATTCAATTTTTAAAAAATATGTTTTCCAGAGTGGAAAAAAATGACTGGAGTTACAGCCAACACCCACATAATCACCCAGAATTTTTGATAAATGTAAGGCTCCTTCCATATTTAAGACTATAGTATGCTGAGGTCACATGCTTTTTTCTGCCACTGCGCCTTCTCCTTTACATTCACTTCTTCTAACATTCTCTTGCCTTCCTGAAAAGTGTTTAAATCTTCCCCATACTTCAAGACCTAACTCAAGACCCTACCACCACCACTAATACTAGGAATTCTTTCAAATGCCACAACTCCCCAGCCCACAGTGAGAATTCACTTCCCTTTAATCTCTAACACTAGCTGTGTCTATTTACTGGCTGTTAAAGAGTCATCTTGTGACTTCCTCTCTGTCAACCATCTGGAAGAGCTTGCCTTATCTAGCTTACCTATTCATACCATGTATAAGCTCCCTCCTGAGGATATCTCTCTATCTTATAGGCTTTGAGAGAAACTCCATAGGGGATGAGGAATGAAGGGAGCTGTCCTGCCCAGCTGGCAGTGATGGAGCGCAGTGCCATGACAGGTGGGCAGGGTAGGCATAGAGTAGGAACCTGGCTGCTAAGGTATGGCACAGTCAACAGCAACATCATTTTATCATCCTCATCATCACCACCATCATCCCTGAAATATTTAGGGTGTGATTTAAAATGTATTTGTACATTTGTTATCTTACACATTCAGATAATCAAAGCTACAAAGGCATTAGATGATTTCAGTCCAGTGGCTCACCTTGCCTGGAGCATTTGTTAAAACATACATTTCTGGACCCCACTCCCAGAGCATCTGATTCACTTGGTATGGGATAAAGCTTGAGAATTGGCATTTCTAAAAAGTTTGCAGGTGACTCTGCTGCTGCTGCTCTGAGGATCACACATTGAGAACCACTGATCTGATCCAATCTTATTATCTTACTTTACTGGTCCACGTTACCAGTGAGTCACAGAAAGAGGAAGAGGGTTCTCCAAGGTTACCTCACAAGTCAGTGACCAAGCTGTGACTCCTGACTCTTAAGCCAGAGGTCCTTTTTCACTACCACAGCTAAACCTCCTCCTTTTCTTTCTTCCCTCCCAGTGGTGCTGTGAAGACAAATTACATGCTGTCTGGAAAAGCTCTTTGTATTCTGCAAAACTAAGATACTCATAACCAGGTGGCAGTGTTATTGCTCTGTGGAGACGTCTGATAGCAATTAGGTCTCCTCTCTTCTTTGCCTGGAGTCTGATATTTGTATGATCCCATTTGCCCCTCCCTTCTCCCAGCTGTGTGGAAAACCAAGAGCCACTTCCTGGCCCCAAGACAGTTTGGGCCACTGTAAATAGCTGTGCCTTCCCTAAGGCTATGTGCCCATGAAATGGCCCAGCTCAGCCAAGGAGATTGTGGGGGAGGGGCATTAGGTTGCTTCAAGCATAGTCCCAGAGGGGCCTGAGGCTCAGAGTCCACCAGTGAACTGCACCTACTCCATCTCCAGGCCCATCCAGGAATAGCTTGGAAACTACAGGCTATACACAGGTCTTATTGGGGATCAAGGATGGTCTACACTCTCCCCACTGTGCACCTGGTCATGTGTACAGGGGTCTTAGTTCTTGGGTCACACCATAGATTATCTAGGAATTGACAACTTATGGCCCACAGGTTGAATTTTGTCTAAGTCCTTGTTTTGTAATGCCTATGAGCTAAGAATGGTTATTTACACTTTTAGTAGAATTTTAGGAGGTGGAGGAGGAGGAGTAGAATGGGTGGAGGAAGACAAGGCAGCAGCAGTGATGAGAGACACATAATGGCCCACAAAGCTCATATATTTACCATACTGCCCTTTGCAGAAAATATTTGCTGACCCCCTGGATCAGCAAACTGATCAGCAAATTGGATCAATAAACTGATGCCAAGGGAACCCTCAAACTACAGAATATCAGAACTAAAAGGAGCTAGAGAACCAAGTTGAGAATCAAACTGCATTCCTTGGTGTCATGGGGTTCTAGAACTGATTCAGAGGATGACTCTGAGGTGGCCTGAGCTTCCACACCCTCCCCCATCTACTCAATCTGCTTTTCCAACCAGAGAAACTAAATGAATTTCATTTTTAATGGGTTTCTCCACTTTTAAAAATATTGAAAGTCACTGGCAGAAAGCAAAGTCCCTCACTTTATAGATGTGAAAACTGAGGACCAAAGAAGATAAAGGTCAGATTCAAGGTGGCATATCAACTCAGAGCCAGAACCAGGAGAGGAACCTAGATGTGCTGACTCCCCAGTCAGTGCTCTTTACACATCAATATCCCACAAATAAAGTAGGACATAACCATAGCAATGGCAGTTCTATACCATTCGCATAGGATTTGTCTGAGAAGTTTTGCAGAACTCTCTTTTCTCTATACACTTAGTCCCTAATTTATCTCATCTGTTCTGACAGCATAAAATGCCGTCTATTTGCCAAACACTCAAAAATTATATCTCCAGCCAAAACTGTTTCCAGATTCTAGATTCATATATGCAATTTCCGATTCAATATTTCCATTTAGATGTTGAATAGACTTCAATTCAACATGTCCAAAACTAAACTCCTGATCCCTTCCACCTTCCAAAAAGAGCACCTGCTCCACCCACAGGGAAGAAACACCAATAACTTGGAGGCCATTTGAACCAACCCAAAGAATAAAAGTTGTTGGTAAGTACAATGACAATGAGAGGTTGACTATATGGTATAAGCTAAGTTCTTTTTTTTTCTTTTTTTTTTCTTTTTTTTAGTTATACTTTAAGTTTTAGGGTACATGTGCACAATGTGCAGGTTAGTTACACATGTATACACGTGCCATGTTGCTGTGCTGCACCCATTAACTCGTCATTTAACATTAGGTATATCTCCTGATGCTATCCCTCCCCCCTCCCCCCACCCCACAACAGGCCCCGGTGTGTCATGTTCCCCTTCCTGTGTCCATGTGTTCTCATTGTTCAATTCCCACCTATGAGTAAGAACATGCAGTGCTTGGTTTTTTGTCCTTGTGATAGTTTGCTGAGAATGATGGTTTCCAGCTTCATCCATGTCCCTACAAAGGACATGAACTCATCCTTTTTTATGGCTGTATAGTATTCCATGGTGAATATGTGCCACATTTTCTTAATCCAGTCTATCATTGTTGGACATTTGGGTTGGTTCCAAGTCTTTGCTATTGTGAATAGTGCCGCAATAAACATAACTGTGAGTGTGTCTTTATAGCAGCATGATTTATAATCCTTTGGATATATACCCACTGGGTCAAATTCCTCAGGGTTCCAAAACTAGAAGCTAAGTTATTTTCCAAAAAAGAAGCTGGCCTTTAGTTGTCTCCTTTCTCCACCAGAGCATTCTGGGAGAGCACAAAATCAATTAATTCCAAACAGCATGAAATAAAAGCAAATGCAAAAGTGGTTTGTGAGATGTTTTGCTCCTTTTAAAGTAACTATGGTCGCCCGGCCACCCCGTCTGGGAAGTGAGGAGTGCCTCTGCCTGGCCGCCCCATCTGGGATGTGAGGAGTGCCTCTGCCCGGCCGCCACCCTGTCTGGGAAATGAGGAGCGCCTCTGCCTGGCTGCTGTTCAATCTTCCAAGTGTGAAGTGACAGCCTTTCTGCAGGTGTACCCAACAGTTCCGAAGAGACAGCGACCATCGAGAAAGGGCCATGAAGACGATGGCTGTTTTGTCAAAAAGAAAAGGGGGAAATTTGGGGAAAAGAAAGAGAGATCAGATTGTTACTGTGTCTGTGTAGAAAGAAGTAGACATAGGAGACTCCATTTTGTTCTGTACTAAGAAAAATTCTTCTGCCTTGGGATGCTGTTAATCTATAACCTTACCCCCAACCCCATGCTCTCTGAAACATGTGCTGTGTCAACTCAGGGTTAAATGGATTAAGGGCGGTGCAAGATGTGCTTTTTTAAATAGATGCTTGAAGGCAGCATGCTCCGTTAAGGCCGCAGGGACCTCTGCCTGGGAAAACCAGAGACCTTTGTTCACGTATTTATCTGCTGACCTTCTGTCCACTATTATCCTATGACCCTGCCACATCCCCCTCTCTGAGAAACACCCAAGAATGATCAATAAATACTAAAAAAAAAATACAAAATAAAAAATAAAGTAACTATGGTCTATGGCCGTACTACCCTGGATGTGCCCAATCTTGTCTGATATCTGAAACCAAGCAGGGTCAGGTCTGTTTAGTACTTGGATGAGAGACCTCCTGGGAATACTGGGTGTTGTAGGCTTTTTAAATAAATAAATAAGAAGTGACTATGAAGGATGTTAATAAAAAACAGGTAAACCAGCCCAGAGATTGATGATATCTGAGAGTAGAAGGAGGTGGGCTAGGAATGGAGGCAGTTATGAGAAGAGAGACAGTATGATCAGGAAGCAACTAGAATGGAAGAAAGTGAGAATAAAGAGTCCCTGAGCCCCCACACATCTTGGGGCTTAGGCCCAAGGAAATCTCCAAAAGACTCAGATGGGGTGTGTGGAGACAACTGCAACCCCCTTCCCTCAAAGCTTTAAACCCTCCTCCCTCATAATGGCCATCTGCAAACACTCTGGCCTATCTTAAAACTGTACTCTATTTGTAGCAGATTCCTGAGCTTTTAATCCTTTTGGAACTGCCCTCAACAGGACATACCCAGCTCAGTGAAGCAGTATGGGTGCATGGAAAGTACTGGGCTTAGAGTCAGAAGACCTAGGTTCTAGACCCAAAGCCTCACTAACATTCTGTGAAAATTACTCCCACTCCCAGCTCAGGTCTCAGTTTCATCACATTAAAAATAAGATGGTTGCACTGGGAAAATGTATCTGTTCCTAAGCCAGTAGGAAGCCTTCAGAGTCTCAGTGCCCACTATGTTTTTTCACCACTTTCTAGCAGGATAGTTCAGATTCCTGTACTTCACTACAACAATTGTACAAACAAGTGAAGCTACTATGAAAATTAGTGGCTCTGTGCTCCTCTTGATAAGGCTTATATATAAAAATCTATTAGTTAACTCCCACTCATTTTAGATGGAGAAACTAAGAACTAAGGTCCAGAGAAGAAATGTAATTTTCCTAAAGTCACACAGAGAATGGCAATAATCACACAGCTAGTGGCAATAAATATTGTTGTCTAGAATCAAAAGGGAACCACTGTGAGTGAATTGAGGTTCGTGGGATTCCTCACAGGAGATAAAAGGGGCAATTGGGACATGCTAAGGCCACAAAGCAGCCTAGTAAAAAGGTCACTGGAATGAGAGTTCAAGAGTCTGTCTACTTCTGCTACTAACTAGCTGTGTGGCCTTGGACAGTTCCCTTCACCTTTTAGGGTTTCAGATTCCTCATCAGTAATATAAATGATCTAGACATTTGCTAAAAGAAATAATGTATACAGTGATCCATTTCCAAGACAAAGTGCCTTGAATTGGCTTAGGTCAGCAAACTACAGAAGAAACAGGATATACTACACCCCTGCTTGGATAGCCAATGCCTGCTTGCCGACCTCCCCATTCCCTCCACCTTAGTTGCCTTCACCTGAACCAAAGAAGTTTAGTCTAAGATGGAAGTTTACTGGCCTGCAAAATAGTTCATTTTTTCTGTCCTTATCAGCCTGCCCAGCTACTTAGGTCACAAGTCAAATACTTGAAGAGCCCCTGAGCTAGCTAGGATTGCAATGCATTGTGGGCTGCAACAAAATGCAGCTAGACAACACCCCCCCCCAAAAAAAAACACCTGAAGCCCCTACCCAACAATCAATAGACGACATCTGGGAAGATTGTGACCCCATAGTACTCAGCCTATGAGGAACCGGGAGAGAGACCTGCACACTAGGAGATAAATTGCTTGTTGAAACTGTGCTGGGTCTACCTGCTCATCAGACACCCAATCTTGCAAGATAATCATTAAAAGTCTCGCTTTCACTGTTCTCGGAGTCTCTCTGAGTCCTTTCTTTGGGTTTGGATGGATGAGTTTGTTTCTCACAACCTGGTGGGCCATATGGGGATCTCTCTGCCTTTGTGGAGTGAGACTCCGACTGAGAGGGGAGATGCGTCCCAGCCAATTTAGGTGGCCCACTCTGCCCAGGTGTGCCAGCCCCCCATAGAAGCCATAGAAAAAGCCAAGGCTGTTATTCAGGAAATAACGAAAGTGACACCTGGAGAAAAGCAGGTGCCATGGCAACCAGGCAACCTCGTGCATGAGCCAAGGTAGGAAAATTGGACTATAAGTACTGCCTTGGTGGTTGGGCATTCTTGGAGGTTTCAGGGTGTGCAAGAAACCTCCAGTTAGGGGGGCTGATTACACAGGGAAAGACTCAGACACAGAGACTAACAAAAAATTGGGAAACAGGAATTCTAGGCCTAAGGGAACAAAGGAAAGAGGGAACTAAAAAGACCCCCTCTGACATTCTCCCAGATAGTCCATTGAGGAGAATGTTGCAGATTCGAAGGGATAATCCTCAAACCAGGGACAAGAAAAAGCAAAAGATGATAAAATATTGCTGTTTTATCTGGCCCAAAAAGCCCATTCATCAGCCCTTGGTCTTTTGGCCTGAGTTTGGCTCAGATGAGGATTGGGTGTGCCAAGCTTTAATTCTCTATGTGAATACTAAAACCCCATCCTCACAAGAGGAGATGGGTTATGCTCTTTGCTGGATTAGTGAATTAACCCCCATGTTCCCCCTTAAAAAGAAAGAAAAAGAGCATAGTAAAAAGCCCTCACACAATATAAAGCCCTGGAGTCTCCAACATACTTTCTCCCTCCCCCCATACATCTCACAAAGTAGAGGACAGGGAGATCGGAGGGCATCAGAAAGGTCAGAGAAACAGGAATCTGGGGGTCATGAAGGAGCTAAACCCAATGCTTTCTTAAATCCTTTTCCAAACTTGAGGAAAGAATTAGAACAATATAAGAAGGACATTACAAATTTCCCTATTCCTTCTAAACCGCAGGTATCTAACATGTACCCTCTTAGAGAAGGCCCTATGGGACAGGGAGAAGTTGGATTTTTGAGTAACAAGTAGTGAGGTTAGGAACTTGAAAAAAGGAAGTGAGGCCACTCTTGGAAAATCCCCTCAGTTTAGCAGAGCAGATAAATCAGTTTTTAGGACCCAATTTTTATACTTGGAATGAGATGATGTCAATCGTGAATATTCTGTTTACTGGGGAAGAGAGGGGAATGATTAGAAGGACAACCATAACCATTTGGGAGAGGCAGCATCCTCTGAGGCAAGGAGTCCTGCCAGCTAAGTAGAAATTCCCAAATGTGAATCCCAGATGGGATAACAATAACCCCAGAGATCGGGCCCAAATGCAGAACCTAAGGAAACCAATGATTTAAAAGATTAAAAAGTCCACTCCTAGGACACAAAATGTCTCAAAAGCATTTGAGACCCAACAAGAAAAAGAGGAGACTCCCTCTGCCTTTCTGCAGAGGCTCAGAGATCAAATGAGAAAATATTCAGGATTAGATGCAGAGGACCAAGTAAGGCAAGGCCTTTTAAAGGTTAATTTTGTGACTGAAAGCTGGTCTAATGTTACTAAGAAACTGCAAAAGATTGATTGATGGAATGAAAAACCGATTAAGAATTACTGAGGGAAGCCCAAAAGGTTTTTGTAAGAAGAAAGAAAAGAGAAACTGAGAAAGAAAGAAAAAGAAAAAGTAAAAAAGGAAATTGGAAAGAGAAAGAGGAGGAAACGGCAAACACAGAGGACAGAGAGAGAAAGAGGTAAGCTGCTGATCCTGAAAGCAGCGGAGAGCTGGCCATGCAGCTGCAGGCATGGGGCTGGCAGAAGCTGCAGAGCTGGACCAGACAGTTGAGATAAAAGTGGACAGTGTGAGAAAGCTGTTAATAAAAGCTGCTGCTGAACCTTTGTCATTTCGGCAGAGCTGTCTGTCTTTGCAGACAGATGGGAGGAGCCAGGTGCCCAGAGACAAAAAGAGGAAGAAACTAACTAAGGGAGAAAGAAAACAGGGGTTGACAGAGAGAGATAGAAAAAGAAAATGAGCAAGAGAGAGACTGGGAAAGACAGAGATCAAAGAGAGACACAGAAGGTGAGACTGGGGAGAGAGATAATGTAAAAGGAAGAAAGAGTACAAGAGGAAGTGAGAGGATGCAGAGAGGCTGGCAGGGCTGAGAAAAGGATCTAGAGGCTCAAGCAACAAGGAGGTGCAGGGAAAGGGTGGAGCATGGCCACTGAGGAGAGACAGAGCCAGAGAACTGGAGGATGCAAGTGAGAAAGGGATGTGGAGGAGAGTGTAGAATCAGGCTGCTTGAGGAATAGTAGGCTGCCTACAGCAAAGACTAGATGGCTGTATGTCAGGAGGTAAATAGAGAGGATTCAGGTTATGAAAGGGTAAACCGATAAGATGACCGTTAAGGTTTTGTTGTTTTACTGAGAGGCTGTAAATCCACCAGGGGAAGCTGTCACTAAGGCTGCAGAGGGGCTGGAGAGCTACACAGGGAAGATCAGAACTACTGTTGTAAACAAGTGAGTATAGAACCGGCAAATGATGAGGAGGGCTGCAGGGCTGTGTGGGGACTGTGGCTAACTGAAGAGGGCACACCCTGAAGAGGGGCCATGGCTGCTCAACTGTTTCTACAGTAATGGCCCTGTGTTACCAAATTGCATGCTTTGTCAGAGGCCAGAGTTCTGATGTTTTATGTGAAATTGGATTTTTTTTCTTTATTTCTTCTAAAAAAAAAGTGGCAGTTACACATGCAGCATGTGCAGGTTTGTTACATAGGTATACATGTGCCATGGTGGTTTGCTGCACCTAATGACCAATCCTCTAAGTTTCCACCCCTCATCCCCATCCCCCAACTAGCCCTGGTGTGTGTTGTGCCCCTCTCTGTGTCCATGTGTTCTCAATGTTCAACTCCCACTTATGAGTGAGAACATGTGGTGTTTGGTTTTCTGTTCCTGTGTTAGTTTGCTAAGGATAATGGCTTCCAGCTTCATCCATGTCCCTGCAAAAAAATATAATCTCATTCCTTTTTATTTCTACACAGTATATCATGGTGTATATGGACCACATTTTAATTATCCAGTCTATCACTGATGGGCATGTGGGTTGGTTCCATGTCTTTGCTATTGTAAATAGTACTGCAGTAAACATACATGTCCATGTGTCTTTATAGTAGAATGATTTATATTCCTTTGGATATATACCTAGTAATGGAATTGCTGGGTCAAATGGTATTTCTGGTTCTAGATCCTTGAGGAATCGCCGCACTGTCTTCCACAATGGCTGAACTAATTTACATTCCAACCAACAGTGTAAAAGTGATCCTATTTCTACATAGCCTCTCCAGCATCTATTGTTTCCTAAATTTTTAATAATCGCTATTCTGACCAATGTGAGATGGCATCTCATTGTGGTTTTTATTTGCATTTCTCTGATGATCAGTGATGTTGAGCTTTTGTTCATATGATCGTTGGCCACGTGTTTTCTTTTGAGAAGTATCAATTCATATCCTTTGCCCACTTGTTGATGGAGTTGTTTTTTTTTCTTGTAAACATGTTTAAGTTCCTTGTAAATACTGGATATTAGACCTTTGTCAGATAGGTAGATTGCAAAAGTTTTCTCCCACTCTGTAGGTTGCCTGTTCACTCTGATGCTGGTTTCTTTTGCTGTACAGAAGCTTTTTATTTAATTAGATCCTATTTGTCAATTTTGACTTTTGTTGCAATGACTTTGGTGTTTTTGTAATTAAGTCTTTGCCCATGCCTATGTCCTGAATGGTATTGCCTAGGTTTTCTTCTAGCTTTTTTTAATGGTTTTGTGTTTTACATTTATGTCTTTAATCCATCTTGAGAAAATTTTTGTATAAGGTGTAAGGAAGGGGTCCAGTTTCTGCTTTCTGCATATGGCTAGCAAGTGTTCCCAGCACCATTTATTGAATAGTAGATCCTTTTCCCATTTCTTTTTTTTGTCAGGTTTGTTGAAGATCAGATGATTGTAGATGTGTGGTGCTATTTCTGAGGTCTCCATTCTGCTCCACTGGTCTATACATCTGTTTTGGTACCAGTACCATACTGTTTTGGTTACTGTAGTCTTGTAGTATAGTTTGAATTCAGGTAGTGTGATGCCTCCTGCTTTGTTCCTTTTGCTTAGGATTGTCTTGGCTATGTGGGGCCTTCTTTGATTCTGTATAAAATTTAAAGTAATTTTTTCTAATTCTGTGAACAATGTCAGTGGTAGTTTGATGGGAATAGTGTTGAATTTATAAATTACTTTGAGCAATATGGCCACTTTCACAATATTGATTCTATTTATGAGGATGGAATGTTTTTCCATTTGTTAGTGTCCTCCCTTATTTCCTTGAGCAGTGGGTTGTAGTTCTCCATGAAGAATTCCTTTACATCCCTCGTTAGCTGTATTTCTAGGTATTTTATTATCTTTGTAGTGATTGTAAAGGGGAGTTCATTAATGATTTGGCTCTCTATTTGCCTATTGTGGGTGTAAAGTAATTCTTGTGATTTTGGCACATTGATTTCATATCCTGAAACTTTGCTGAAGTTGTTTATCAGTTCAAGAAGTTTTTGGGCTGAGATGATACAATTTCCTAAATATAAAAGTATGTCATCTGCAGAGACAACTTAACTTCCCCTCTTCCTATTTGAATATCTTTTATTTCTTTCTCTTCCCTGATTGCCCTGGGCAGAACTTCCAATACTATCTTGAATAGGAGTGGTGAGAGAGAGCATACTTGTCTTGTACCAGTTTTCAAAGGGAATGTTTCCAGCTTTTGCCCATTCAATATAATATAGACAAGGTGGGTTTGTCATAAATAGCTCTTATTATTTTGAGATACATTCCATCAATACCTAGTTTATTGAGAGTTTTTAACATGAAGGGATATTGAATTTTATCAAAGGTTTTTTCTGCATCTCTTGAGATAATTATGTGGTTTTTGTCTTTGGTTCTGTTTATGTAATGGATTATGTTTATTGATTTGCATATGTTGAACAAGTCTTGTATCCCAGAGATGAAGCTGACTTGATCATGGTGGATAAGTTTTTGATGTGCTGCTGGATTCAGTTTGCCAGTATTTTATTGAGGATTTTTGCATCGATGTTCATCAGGGATATTGGCCTGAAATTTTTTTTGTTGTGTCTGTGTCAGGCTTTGGTATCAGGATGATGCTGGCCTCATAAAATGAGTTAGGGAGGAGTCCTTTCTTTTCAATTGTTTGTAATAGTTTCAGAAGGAAAGGTACCAACTTCTCTTTGTATTTCTGGTAGAATTCAGCTGTGAATCCATCTGGTTGTGGGTGTTTTTTTTTTGTGTGTGTGGTAGGCTATTAATTACTGCCTCAATTTCAGAGCTTGTTATTGGTTTATTCAAGGATTCAACTTCTTCTTCCTGGTTTAGTCTTGGAAGGGTGTATGAGTCCAGGAATTTATCCATTTCTTATTCATTTTCTGGTTTATTTGCATAGAGGTGTTTATAGTATTCTCCGATGGTAATTTGTATTTTTGTGCAGTCAGTGGTGATATCCCCTTTATCAATGTTTACTGTGTATATTTGATTCTTCTCTCCCTTCTTCTTTACTAATCTAGCCAGCAGTCTATCTATTTTGTTAATTTAAAAAACTAGCTCCTGAATTCGTTGATTTTTTTAGAGTTTTTTATGTCTCTATCTCCTTCAATTCTTTTCTGATCTTGGTTATTTCCTGTCTTCTGCTAGCTTTTGGATTAGTTTGCTTTTGCCTCTCTAGCACTTTTAATTGTGATGTTAGGGTGTCAATATGAGATGTTTCTAGCTTTCTGATTGAATATTTAGTGCTATAAATTTCCCTCTTAACACTGCTTTAGTTGTGTCCCAGATATAGGGGTATGTTGTCTCTTTGTTCTCATTGGTTTCAAAGAACTCCTTGATTTCTGCCTTAATTTCATTATTTATCCATGAGTCAAACAAGAGCAGGTTTTTCAATTTTCATTAAATTGTGTGGTTTTGAGTGAGTTTTTAAATACTGAGTTCTAATTTGATTGCACTGTGGTCTGAGAGACTGTTATAACTTCAGTTTTTTGCATTTACTGAGGAGTGTTTTACTTCAAATTATGTGGTCGATTTTAGAATAAGTGCCATGTAGCACTGAGAAGAATATGTTCTGCTGATTTGGGGTTCAGAGTTCTGTAGACATCTCTCACTATTATTGTGTAGGAGACTAAGTCTCTTTGTAGGTCTCTAAGAACTTGTTTTGTGAATCTGGGTGTTCCTGTATTGGGTGCTTATACATATTTAGAATAGTCAGCTTTTCTTGTCAAATTCTTCCCTTTACCATTATATAATGCCTTCCTTTTTTTTTTTATCTTTGTTGTTTTAAAGTGTGTTTCATCAGGACCTAGGATTGCAACCACTGCTGTTTTTTTGCTTTTCATTTGCTTGGTAAATATTCTTCCATCCCTTTATTTTGAGCCTGTGTGTGTCTCTGCATGTAAAATGGGTCTCCTGAATACAACACACTGATGGGTCTTGACTCTTTTATCCAGTTTGCCACTCTGTGTCTTTTAATTATGGCATTTACCCCATTTACATTTAAAGTTAGTATTGTTATGTGTGAATTTGATGCCATCATCCTGCTGCTATTTGGTTATTTTGCACACTATTTGATGCAGTTTCTTCGTAGAGTCATTGGTCTTTATATTTTGGTGTGTTTTTGCAGTGGCTGGTACAGGTTTTTTCTTTCCACATTTAGTGCTTCTTTCAGGATCTCTTGCAGGGCAGGCCTGGTGGTAACAAAATACCTCAGCATTTGCTTGTCTGGAAAGGATTTTATTTCTCCTTTGTTTATGAAGCTTAGTTTGGCTGGATATGAAATTCTAGGTTGGAAATTATTTTCTTTAATTGTTGAATATTAGCCCCCAATCTCTTCTGGCTTGTAGTTTCTGCAGAGAAGTCCACCGTTAGTTTGATGGGCTTCCCTTTGGAGGTGACCTGGCCTTTCTCTCTAGCTGCCCTTAACAGTTTTTATTTGATTTCAACCTTGGAGAATCTGATGATTATGTGTCTTGGGGTAGATCATCTCATGGAGTATCTTAATGGTGTTCTCTGTATTTCCTGAATGTGCATGTTGGTCTGTCTGGCTAGGCTGGGGAAGTTCTCCTGGATAACATCCTGAAGTGTGTTTTCCAGCTTGTTTACATTCTCCCCATCTCCTTCTGTTACTCCAATCAATCGTAAGTTCAGTCTTTTTATGAAGTCCCATATTTCTTGGAGGCTTTGTTCAATTTTTTTCATTCTTTTTTTCTCTATTACTCTCTGCACTTCTTACTTCAGTAAGGTGGTCTTCAAACTCTGATATCCTTTCTTCTACTAGGTTGATGTGGCTGTTGATTCTTGTGTATGCTTCACAAAGTTATCATGCTGTGTTTTTCAGCTCCATTAAGTCATGTATGTACCTCTCTAAACTGGTTATTCTAGTTAGCAATTCCACTAACCTTTTATCAATGTTCTTAGCTTATTTGCATTGGGTTAGAACATGCTCCTTTAGTTCATCATAGTTTTTTTATTACCCATCTTCTGAAGCCTACTTCTGTCCGTTCATCCATCTGATTTTCCACCCAGTTCTGTGCCCCTGATGGAGGGATGTTGCAATCATTAAGAAGAGAACAGGCATTCTGGCCTTTTGTGTTTTCAGAATTTTCTCATTGATTCTTTCTCATACTCATGAGTTCGTCTAGTTTTGGTCTTTGAGGTTGCTATCCCTTGGATGGAATTTTTGTGGGAGTCTTTTTGTTGTTGTTGTTGTTCTTGTTGTTGATGTTGTTTTTGTCACTTTCTGCTTGTTTGTTTTTCTTTCAATAGTTAGGTCCCTCTTCTGTAGGGCTGCTGCAGTTGGCTGGGGGTTCACCTCAGGCTCTGTTCATCTGATTCACGCTCATGCTTGGAGATGTCACTCAAGGAGGCTGGAGAGAAGCAATGATGGATGCCTCCTCCTTCTTGTGAAACCTCTGACCTTGAGGGGCACCAAACTGATGCCAGTAGGATTTCTTCTATATAGGTCGTCTGACAACCCCTGTTAAAGTGTGTAACCCCATTGGGTGGCACAGGGAGCAGGACCCATTTAATGAAGCATCTTTTCCCTCAGTGGAAAGGATCTGTTTCTCTATGGGGAAACTCACTCATCTGGGCTGTCTAGATTTCTCAGAACTACTAGGAGGATAGGCTAAGTCTGCTCATCTGCACAGACTGCAGCCACCCCTCCCTCTAGGGGCTCAGGCCCATTGAGATCCAAATTCTGTCCCTGAGCCTCTGGCTGGAGTTATTGAAGATTCTGCCAGGAAGGCTCACCCATTGAGGGAGGATGGGTCAGGGTTGGGCCTGAAGAGTCACTCTGGCCACAGACTGCCACAGCCTGTTTGCTGGGCTGTGGGGACAAGCCTTAGGGCCAAGCAATCCAGCCTCCCTGGCTCTAGCAGGGGAAAAGCACAGCCTGGAGTTATAGAAGTGGGTGCCACCCTTCCCCCACCCAGTGAGCCTAACGTGTTAGGCAGTTGCCAGTCCCAGTGCTGGCTGCTGCCCCTCCCCCAAGGAGCTCAAAGGGCTTAGACAACTGGCAGCTGCAGCCTGTGCTGGTCACAGGCTAGGGTCCCTCCCCACAGGAGTTTGGTATATTTTAGCAGATTCCAGCTGAGAGGCTGTAAGAATCTGTGCATTCTTACACAGATTGGGACAATAGGTCACGGGACACTAAACCATGGTGGCATGGGTTCATGGGTGGGATCTTCCAATCCATGGGTTGCACAGTTCCGTGGAAAAAGCAATTTTCCTGACTGGGTAGTGCACTCACTCACCACCTCCCTTGGCTGGGGGGAGGGGGTTCCCCTTCCCCATGTGGTTCTCAAGTGAGCCACCACACCACAATGCTCTTCCTTCTCTCCATGTTTCATGCCAGCTTTCTAGTCAATTTTGATGAGAGAACCTAGATACTTTGGTTGCCAGTGAAACATTCACATGCTTATTAAGGTTTTTTTTGATGGGAGTCTCTGAACACTGCAGCTTCTGGTTGGCCATCTTGGCCCCACCCATGACCAAGTGAGGTTCATTCCAGAGAAGGATGTTGGGAACAGGTCCCCCAAAATCTGGCCATAAACTGGCCCCAAAACTGGCCATAAACAAAATTTCTGCAGCACTGTCACACATTCATGATGGCCATAATGCCCACACTGGAAGGTTGTGGGTTTACCAGAATGAGGGCAAGGAACACCTGGCCCACCCAGGGCGGAAAATTGCTTAAAGACATTCTTAAGCCACAAACAATAGCATGAGCAATCTGCTCCTGCTGCAGTTAACTAGCCCAACCTATTCCTTTAATTTGGCCCATCCCTTCATTTTCCATAAGGGATACTTTTAGTTAACCAAATATCTATAGAAGCAATGCTAATGACTGGCTTGCTGTTAATAAATACGTGGGTAAATCTCTGTTCAGGGCTCTGAGCTCTGAAGGCTGTGAGGGCCCTGATTTCCCACTTCACACCTCTATATTTCTGTGTGTGTGTCTTTAATTCCTCTAGTGCCGCTGGGTTAGGGTCTCCCCGACTGAGCTGGTATCAGCAAATGGCATCCATCATGGGGACTCAAATCCAGGTCAAAGGTTTGCCAGAGGGATGGTTGGAGAACATGGAACTAGCTAGAGGACACCTGAGTACTCTTAAAGCAATCCCTGTGGTGAGTAAGAAGGGGAGTTTGGCACTTTGGGAGGCTGAGGTGGGCAGATCACGAGGTCAGGAGATCAAGACCATCCTGACTAACATGGTGAAACCCCCTCTCTACTAAAAATACAAAAAATTAGCCAGGCGTGGTGGCAGGCACCTGTAATCCCAGCTACTTGGGAGGCTGAGGCAGGAGAATGTTGTGAACCCAGGAGGCGGAGCTTGCAGTGAGCCAAGATTGCACCACTGCACTCCAGCCTGGGTGACAGAGCAAGACACCATATCGAAAAAAAAAAAAAAAAAGAAGGGGAGCTCAGAAGCATCAGGGTAACAATGGGACAAGTGTGGGCTGTGGTTGGTTCCACCTTGGAACTTTTTCACACTGATTATGAGGAGGAAGGAGAGTATAATGAAGTAACAGAAGAGGTTACAGACCAGGTTTATTTGCCAGCTAAAGCTAAAGCGGCAAAGGAGGGAGAGGTTCATCCCTACCCTTCTGCACCCCCTCATTATTATTTTGAAGAAAAAGAGTGGCCTGACCCTCCAGATCTTTCTTTTCCAGAGGACACTGGGCCAAAAGTAGTTGCTCCAGTGACTGTAGAAGAGAGGGTGATTTAGAGCATGGCAATTCCCTGTTAGAATACACTCCCCAGATCAACAGGGAAATATTATAGCTACATTTGAGGCTTTTCCTTTTAAATTACTCAAAGAATTCAAACAAGCTATTCATACTAAAAAAGAATGTAGAAAAAATCAGTGAGTCAGGCCACCAGATAGGGGAAAAGTGAAAACTGCTGAGCCTGAAGTATGTCCAAAATGTGAAAAAGAAAAACATTGGGCTAATCAGTGCACTCTAAGTTTGATAAAGAAGGGAACCTGATTTCAGGAAACGTCATGAGGGGCCCGTCCTGGGCCCTGTTCCAAACTGGGGCATTTCCAGCTGAGGCCATTCCCTCACCCCTGTACGATGTCTGTCCCCCGCCTCAGCCAGTAGTGCCACAGTAGATTTATGCTGCACAAAAGTTGTGAGTCTTCTGCCTGGGGAACCCCTGAAAAAGGTCCCAACAGAAGTCTGTGGACCCTTGCCAGTGGGGACAATAGGATTACTTCTAGGCAGGTCTAGTTTAAGTTTAAAAGGGGTACAAATACATAGAGGAGTCATTGATTCAGATTATAATGGGGAAATTCAAATCATTATATCTACTTCTGTTCCCTGGAAAACAGAGCCAGGAGAGTGCACAGCACAGCTCCTGATTGTGCCATATGTGGGAATGGGAAAAGTGAAATTAAATGAACAGGAGGATTTTGAATCACAAATAAACAAGGCAAAGCAGCTTACTGGGTACATCAAATTATTGATAAATGTCCTGTCTGTGAAATAACTATTCAGGGAAAGAAATTTAAAGGTTTGGTAGATACGGGAGTGGACATTTCAATCATTTCTCTACAGCACTGGCTGTCCATGTGGCCAATTCAACCACTCAATTTAACATAGTTGGAGTTGGTAAAGCCCCTAAAGTGTATCACAGTAGTTATATTTTGCATTGTGAAGGGCCTAACAGACCACCTGGAACTATTCAACCAATCATAACTTCTGTACCTATAAATTTATGGGGGAGATATTTATTACAACAATGGAGAGCACAAGCCAAGCTCTAGCTACATTTTTCTGTATGTCAAATATTAAACACATTACTGGTATCCCATACAATTCTCAAGGACAAGCCATAGTGGGAAGAATGAATATTTCCCTAAAACAGCAGTTGCAAAAGCAGAAAGGGGGAAATAGAGAATATGGAACCCCACAGATGCAACTGAATCTAGCATTATTAACTTTATATTTTTTGAGCCTGCCCAAAAGCCAGATGCTATCAGCAGCTGAACAGCATCTACAGAAACCAGCTGCAAAGACAGAAGCAGAACAACTGATTTGGTGGAGAGATCCAATAACAAAAAGTTGGAAAATAGGTAAAATCATAACTTGGGGTAGAGATTATGCTTGTGTTTCTCCAGGCCAAAATCAACAGCCAATTTGGATACCATCAAGACAAATGAAACCTTATCATGAGCCAGATTCTGGGAGGATCCCGAGGACCCCTCAGTTGAAGCCATGTCAAGACTGACGTTGAGGAAGACCCCAGCTTTCACGAGCAACACCCGTTTAACACAGCCACCCACCTGGGGAGAGATCACGAAGCTGTCACAGATTGTGGAAGAAAACCTGAGAAAAGCAGGACAACCAGTCACAATGAGTAATTTAATGGTAGCTATGATAGCAGTTATCACCCTGCCATGAGTATTCCTTCAACAAGGGCTGACACAGAGAACAATTATACTTACTGGGCATATATATCAATCCTGGATGGTAATAATGCCTGAATATAATCACTCTATGACACAGTTACACATGCTTTCTGATCTCAGTATTTACCCTAATAAATTTGTTCCTATAATTGAGGCATACCACCTTAAAAAACCTATTTGTAAACAAAATAGAACCTGGCCAGAAATAATGAATGTACTTGTTTAGGAAGATTGCTTTACAGAACAGGCAGAGGGGCTGCATAACGATTCCTATGGAATCTTTATTGATTGGTCCCCTAAAGGGATGTTTAACCTAAATTGCACCTCTCAGTCTGCATGCCATGGCCACACTATGCTCAGCTGATCTAAACAAAATGGTCAGATGGTAGAAATGATAAGAAGTATGGCAAAAGTTCCTATTATCTGAAACCATGGCAGTATAGTGGCACCTCAACCTCAAATGATATGGCTTATTGTAGGAGGTAAACATGAAGGATTTGTGGAAACTATTAATAGCTCTTAATAAGATCAAAATTTGGGAAAGAATAAAAAAGTATCTAGAAGGACACACTACAAACTTGTTTTTGGATATGGCAAAATTAGAAGAACAAATATTTAAAACATCTCAAGCACACATGGCCTTAATGCCAGGAACTGGAGTGTTTAAAGGAGCTGCAGACAGATTAGCAGCTAGTAACCCATTAAAATGGATAAAAATACTTGGAAGCTCTGTAATTTCAATGATGATTGTGCTTTTAATCTGTGTTGTTTGTCTTTGTATAGTCTGCAGATGTGGATCCTGACTCCTGTGAGAAGTAGCTCACCATGACAAAGCTGCCTTTGCTTTTATCGCTTTGCAAATCAAATAAGGGGGACATGTAGGGAACAGGCCCCCCCCAAAATCTGGCCATAAACTGGCCACAAAACTGGCCATAAACAAAATCTCTGCAGCACTGTATCATGTTCATGATGGCCATAACGCCCACACTGGAAGGTTGTGGGTTTACCAGAATGAGGTCAAGGAACACCTGGCCCGCCCAGGGTGGAAAACCTCTTAAAGGCATTTTTAAGCCACAAACAAAAGCATGAGTGATCTGTGCCTTAAGGACATGCTTCTATTGCAGTTAACTAGCCCAACCTATTACTTTAATTTGGCCCATCCCTTCGTTTCCCATAAGGGATACTTTTAGTTAATTTAATATCTATAGAAACAATGCTAATGACTAGCTTGCTGTTAATAAATATGTGGGCAAATCTTTGTTCAGGGCTCTCAGCTCTGAAGGCTGTGAGGGCCCTGATTTCCCACTTCACACCTCTATATTTCTGTGTGTGTGTCTTTAATTCCTCTAGTGCCGCTGGGTTAGGGTCTCCCCGACTGAGCTGGTCTTTGCAGATGGAAGGTTGGATCAATATTTAAAAATCAATCAACAGAAATCATGACATAAGGCAAAAAGGATGAAGGCATGTCTTACATGACTGAAGCAAGAGGAAGAGCAGGAAATTGGATTTTTAAATGCTGGTAATCAGTTCAAAAACCTTTAAAACCCAATACAGACAAATGACGATGTCAGTTTGCCATCCCTGAAGTAGAGAGGGCCTGTGTTGGGGAGATATCAGCCAAAATGCCTTAAGTGGGATCTATGAAAGTTCTGTTTCCCAGAGCCTGGCTGGGCTGGGGGAGGATCCTTGCAGCTGAAGAGGAGGAAAAGTCACTGAGTCACCTCCCAGAGTGGGACAAACTGGAGACCCTTTGCAGTTGCTGGGTCACCATCAGGGGTGGCATGGAATATTAACAGTGCAGCTCTCAGTCTGCCAGAAAGATGGATGGTGGATTCAAAGCAAAAAAAAAGGAAGGGCAGGCAGAGCCAGGGATGCCTTTGCTGATAAGAGTGCCTGTCAGGGGAGTCACCACAGGCTGGTAGCTCTTCAAACCAGCAGCTCTTGGCTCAGAGCCAGACCCAGCTGGGTTTGGTCCAAGGCATCCTGGGATGCCTGCTGGTCAGTCCCTTGCCTCCCCAAGTTCCTCCTGGAGTCAGTGGGCCCTGGGGAGGTTCCTAACCTAAATCCAGCTGGTTTCTTATGGAAAGAAGAGGAGGATAAGAAGGTATCAAAACATAATTGTTTAAATGTCATAGAACATCAAACTAAAATTAAAACAGACCTTAAAGAAACTCCACTATGTAATGGGATGAGGCTGCTTGTGAATGGGTCATCCCAAGTAATACATGGTAAAAGACACAATAGCTATGTTGTCATTAATAAAGACAAACAATCCTTATGTGAAAAAAGTAAATTACCCAATAACTGGTGAGCACAAACCTGTGAATTACATGTTCTTAACAAGGCCCCAAAGCTCCTAAAAGGCCAAGAAGTTACTATATATACTAATTTCCAATATGCCTATGTAGTAGTACACACCTTTGGAAAGATCTGGACAAAACAGGGCATACATAAGTAGCAGGGAAAAGAATTGGTACATGGGGAGCTGGTCAAACAAGTTTTAGAAAGCCTCCTGCTTCCAGCGTAGATAGCCATAGTTCATGTAAATGGCCATCAGAAAGGAAACACTATAGAAGCTGTGGGAACAGGCTTGAAGATGAAGCTGCCAAGCCAGCCTCCCTGGAGGAAGAAGTTAGACTGTTTAGCCTAATCCCAGATATCCCTAAAGTGGTATTAAAACCCCAATTTTCTAAAGAGGAGGAGGAACAGCTGGGCAAGATAGGGGCCATTCAACCTGAAGATGGGAGGTGAATGCTCCCTGACGGGAGAGGAATGACAAGAAAAGCCATAATGACAGAACGGATGTCCATACTGCATAAGGGAAGTCATTGAGGTCCCCAGGCCATGTGTAATGCAATACTCAAGAATTATGGCTGTAAAGGGATTTATACCCTTGCTAAACAAGTGTGTGGGGGTTGTGGGACCTGCCAGAAAATAAACAAAAAGATAGTTAGAAAACAGACTACTGGAGGGAGACCTCCTGGGTTAAGGCCATTTCAAAGCGTTTAAGTAGATTTTACAGAAATGTCCAAAATAGGGAGACTAAAGTATCTACTGGTAATGATACACCACCTCTCTGGCTGGGTGGAGGTCTTCCCCCTCCTAACTGCCACCACCAGGAATGTGGTCAAAATAATCTTAGAACAAATTATACCCAGATTTGGCCTGGTAGAAAATATTGATTCAGACAGTGGGAGCCATTTTGCCTCAAGTGTGCTAAGGGGAATTATGAAAAGTTTACACATTAGATGGAATTACCACTCCCCTTGGCATCTCCCTTCCTCTGGAAAAGTCAAAAGAATAAATCAAACTCTCAAAAAGCATATTACTAAACTAATCTTAGAAACTAAAATGCCTTAGACCAAATGTCTCCCAATAGCACTCTTTAGGATTAGGACATCCCCAAGGAAAGACTAGGGGATTGTTCCCTTACAAGTTATTATATGAACTCCCATATTTAGGTAGGACTACTGACCTTCCTACTATGGAAACAAAAGATCACTTTTTAAGACATTATATACTGGCCATATCCTCCACCCTGTCATTTCTTAGGTTAAAAGAACTTCTAAGACCAGGCAAGGTGGCTCATGCCTGTAATCCCAGCACTTTGGGAGGCCAAGGCTGGCGAATCATCTGAGGTCAGGAGTTTGAGACCAGCCTTACCAACATGATGAATTCCCGTCTCTACCAAAAATACAAAAATTAGGTGGGTGTGGTGGTGGGTACCTGTAACCCCAACTACTTGGAAGGCAGAGGCAGGCAAAGCACTTGAATCCAGGAGGCAGAGGTGCAGTGAGCCGAGATTGCACCACTGCACTCCAGCCTGGATGACAGAGAGAGACAGTCTCAAAAAAAAAAGGACTTCTAACTCAAACCCCGCCTCTTCAGTTCACAGTACACCATTTCCAGCCTGGTGACTCGGTGCTAATTAAAACTTAGAAAGAAGATATGCTCCACCCAAGCTGGGAAGGTCCCTATCAAGTGCATCTAATCACTGAGACAGCCGTACAAACAGCTGAATGGGGGTGAACATATTACCTACGGGTCAAAACCCTGGTAAAAGAACCCCTGGAAGAAAGGGAAAAGGGTGAATGTGGAGTGTATAAATCACCTAAGAAACACTTAAAGCTAGCTCTAAGAAAAACCTAAAAAGAAGCTATAAGCAGGGTTCATCATTGGGGGTGGATATGGTTAGGATTAATCCTAACACAAGGGGTAAAAGAAAACCTAAGTATTGAATAGAGCCCAGTACTAGGGGTAGAAAGTAAGGAATATACAATCAAACTAATAGTCAACATAACTAAGACCTCTACTCCGCCCCCAAACTATATAATTTAATGCCTGCCAAGTCTTACTTTGTGGGAATTTAGGGAACCAAAGGCAGCTGTCACAAGCAAACAAATATCTATGTCCTGAAATTTGTCACTATTGGGGAAAGACCTGTTCTAGCTGGAATGAGGTCTGGTGGACCACCCAATTTTGAGGCTGGGTAAGTCATTCTTCCAAAAACAAACCCTTAAAGAACAAAATATATTTGTATAAGGGCCCTATACTACATAACTGTAGTAATTTAAAATGCAATCATATGTTAATTACCATAAACAACCCAGCTACTATAGACCAGGAACCTTGAAGGTATAGATTAGGAACAGATATCTCAGGAAAGGATCCTGTAGCATGGTTAGCTCTTAGGCTAGTCACCAACTCCATCCCAAGCCCACCCAGGATTATTATAACTCCCGGTCCCTCTACTTCCTTTAATCCACCAGACAATGACCCTAAGAGAGTAAATATAATTAAAATAACTGACTTGAAGCAGACTTTAGAAATTGAGACTGGATATGGGGATGTAAACGCCTGGATTGAATGGGTCAAATTTTCAGTACTAGCTCTTAATAAGAGCAACTGTTATGCATGCTCTCTTGGGCGGCCTCAGGTACAGGTAGTTCCGTTTCCCCTAGGAAGGGATACCAATCCCAGAGGAATGTGTGGCATGTTGGCTCTACACCAGGACAGAGATGCATGGGGAAATGGGACTTGCAAATTTTATTATTGTTGTTTCCTGCCTTACTGAGGTCAGATCCTAGAGCAATCCCCTCATTCTCCATAGAGAATGTGAACCATTCTTCTTTCCTATCTAGGCAGGGGGCAGAGTTCAATAAGCCCATGGGAAAATTCTCAACTTGGACCCACATTCTAAATGTTACTGGTGAGTAAAACAAAGGCAACTACTCGGCTTTTTATATACCCCAAGCTAACGTCTGCTGGCATTGTGGGAAGAGGAACCTCCATGACCTGTTACCACCCAATTGGACTGGGACTTGTGCCTTAGCTCCATTCCATTCACCTTGGCATTCTATAAAATCCCTGAGAATCCACATGGCCACTGAAGTTGGAGAGATCTAACAAATTCTTTCAATCCCAACATTTATATTAACTCAATAGGAGTCCCTAAAGGAGTAACTAATAAATTTAAAAATGAAAGAACACAAAAATAAGTGTGGAAATAGAACCAATAGGAGTAAAAAGAAAAACAGGAGGAAATTGAAGGAAATAATGTATACGGTGCTCCGTTTCCAAGACAAAATGCCTTGAATTGGCTTAGGTCAGCAAACTACAGAAGAAACAGGATATGTTAGGCCCCTGCTTGGATAGCTGATGCCTGCTCATCGGCCTCCCCCTTCTTCCCCCCACTTAGTTGCCTTCACCCAAACCGAAGAAGTTTAGTCTAAGATGAAAGTTTACTAGCCTGCAAAATAGCTCATTTTGTCTGTTCTTATCAACCTGCCCAGCTACTTAGGTCATAAGTCAAATATCTGAAGAGCCCCAGAGCTAACTAGGATTGCAATGCACTGTGGGCTGCAACAAAATGCAGCAAGACAACCCTAAAAAAATCACATGAAACCCCTTACCCTACAATCAATAGACAACGTCCGGGAAGATTGTAACCCCATAGTACTCGGTCTATAAGGAACCAGAGGAGGGACTTGCACACTAGGGGATAAATTGCTTGTTGAAACTGTGCTGGGTGTCATGAGACACCCAATCTTGCAAGATCGTCATTAAAAATCTCGCTTTCGCTGTTCCCCAGGTATCTAAGTCCATTTTTTGGGATTGGACAGGTGAGTTTGTCTCTCACATTATCTACTTGTTCCTTACTGAAGATGCTCTATGAGATGTTATTCTGAGCTACACTCCTTTCTCTGAGCGTGAGCTCCTGGTGTGGTCAGCCCCATTCAAACTTATGGCAGAATGCAGGGATAATGAGGCTACAAGAAAAGCTCTAGTCACCGTCCCCCAAGACAAGGATCAGGGCCCTGCTCAGAAAATTACTCAGAAAATTACTCTTCCCCTCCTCAATGGACCATGTTTTTCTGATGGACAACTTTTGAACCTTTACGACTCAGCTTTAAGCATCATATCATTTGTGAAGTCTTCTCTGACTCCCCAGAAAAAAACTGATTACATCTTCCTTTAGGCCATCTCTATGCTTGTTATAAATGCCTCTATTATAGCACTAATAATTCTGAATTAGCTTTTCATTTCTGAAATGAACAAATGGCTATAAATAAGGTAAAGGATGTGTTAGAAACAGTAGGAGATAAAAGTTAGAGTCAAATCTTGGAGGGTCTTAAACACTTAGCAGAGAGGCTTGAACTGAATGAGAGCAAGATTGGGGGATAACAATTACTTTTGTACAAGGGACATAGCAAAACAAGTGTTCATTATCGTTGGAGTAAAGGCATAGAGGTGGGAATTATCCTAAATTTCATGAGACTACCTATATGTTGAGGAGGTGGGGGAACTAGTGAGAACCCAGGCATGACCCTGTGGGACGCAGACTGAACTGCCAGCCAATTTCATGATACAAAGGCTTCTTTCTTTTATGACAAATGGATCCAAGTAAAGTCCTGAAGACCATAACAAGCAGCTACTACAGGGTCTCTTGGCAGCTCCATATAGGAGCATGAAGACTGGGCTGGGTAAGAGATGAACGGATAGGGATACGGCCTACTCACAGACGGCATTGGGACCTGTAGCCCATTTTGCTTTGGACCATTTAGGATGTAAGAGAGAATGAGAACAACTAGGTCCAAATCCCAATCCACACTGTGCTGTGGTCTACCTAAGGAGTCAGCTCAGGAACGGCCCTTACATACACACACATCACTGGCAGCCCTTAGTGTTTCCACACAGCAGGGAAAAAGCAACCTTCCCAGCAGCCTGTGCAAAGGCCAAGCAGCTTAGAGGGCCCTGGAGAAAAGATTCAGAAGGTATAAAAGGGCATAGGGTGTGGTTGAGCACAATGACCAGCAAATATTTTAGACTTCTGCTTCAAAGTGGGCTTGACCTGTACCGACAAACAAGGCAGAAAGAGCCCCAGCTTGGTTTTGGCCTGACTTCAGAGGGGGACAAAAAGTGCCCACAAACAGCCAGTCATGAAACAATATTTGCTCCCTCTGGAAAATCATGGCCTTTAGCACATTCCCCAGAATTACGTCAACCAGGGAACAGTGCCAAAAATGTGACTTTCATGTTTCTGCAGCAACAGATGATTTCCTCTCTCCACTTGGCTTTTTTTCTTGTATGTATAAATAAAAGAGCCAGTCAATCGCTCAAAAAATATGAACAACTTAAGCATTTCCAGGCTTTACAAGTAGTAATTATTAATAGAAGCAAGTGACCATGCATACTAGAAATGTTATTTCACATATTCCTTTTCTGGTTTCTTAAAGGAGATTTATATATGTGGCCAGGCTGAACTGAAATAATAACAGTTGACACAATGACCACATGAAAATGGACTTTTCCTCACTTGATTTATGTCACCAAACTTGCATATAAATGTTCCATTTTGTCTGCTCGAAGATTCTTAAGCCTGGGGACAGAGGACAGGAGGTCACCCAGCCCACAGAGCCTGAGAAGAGAATCCACCAGGAAAAAAAAAAAAGATAATGGAAACATCAGGGAAGCTCAGCTGTGTAACTGGACCACTGTTTTTTGGACTTAGCCAGAGGCCATTGTAAAATCCAACAATGGGTGAAAAGCAATATTCATTGCTCATTTCTTGCCTTCAACTTCTATCCCTTCATACTTAATCCTTGTCTAATCTGCCTTTCATCCTGATCAATAACATTTCTTATAACTCTGGAAGCAAAATGTCTTACTGCTTGACTACCTTGACTGATCTCTTTCCTTTCTCTCCACCACATATTTGTCGCATCAGCACTCCCAATATGACAGAGGCATAGAGAATTTGCCCAGCTACATAGCTTAGTTCTAGTTACACTATATCTAACAGCTTTTCAGTCTGAGTTATACCTGGAGCTATAAAGGGAACTAGGGCCTAAAAATGTTTCCATCTGCTCAGGTGAAGAATTCTTCCTGATTAACCTATAACTGAATGGGCTACTTACTTGTCCGTAACTTATGTGAATAGTCTGCTCTACCACTAAAAGGATTTTGCCCTCTAGCTGCTAGTTATCTAGCTATCTAACTGAGGGAGGGCTGCCCCCTTCCAGGAGGTGGAAATAGAGAAGCCAAAATATACGTCTCTGTGGTAAAACACTGGAGTGAATTTTTACTTAGAAACATGCTACAGTCAGGTGTCAAATAGCCAAGGAATGCCAGCTAAATTTGCATCAAGAATTGATACTAAGCAAAAAGCAATTAAAATTAAGCTGGAGCCAGTTCTTTACCTTCCCAGACTTCAGGAGACAACTTAAAAGACCAGTTTTCGGGGGTGGAGCCAAGATGGCCAAATAGGAACAGCTCCAGTCTACAGCTCCCAGCATGAGTGACGCAGACGGTGGGAGATTTCCGCATTTCCAATGGAGGTACTGGGTTCATCTCACTGAGGAGTGTCAGAAAGTGGGTGAAGGACAGTGGGGCCAGTGCACCGAGCATGAGCCAAAGCAGGGTGAGGCATTGCCTCACCTGGGAAGTGCAAGGGGTCAGGGAATTCCCTTTCCTAGTCAAAGAAAGGGGTGACAGATGGCACCTGGAAAATCGGGTCACTCCCACCCTAATACTGCACTTTTCCAATGGTCTCAGCAAACGGCACACCAGGAGATTACATCCCACGCCTGGCTCTGAGGGTCCTACGCCCACAGAGCCTCACTCATTGCTAGCACAGCAGTTTGAGATCAAACTGCAAGGCAGCAGTGAGGATGGGGGAGGGGCCACTGACATAGCTCAGGCTTGAGTAGGTAAACAAAGTGGCCTGAAAGCTCCAACTGGGTGGAGCCCACAGCAGCTCAAGAAGGCCTGCCCGCCTCTATAGACTCAACCTCTGGGGGCAGGGCATAGCCAAACAAAAGGCAGCAGAAACCCCTGCAAACTTAAACGCCCCTGTCTGAGAGCTTTGAGGAAAGTAGTGGCTCTCCCAGCATGCAGCTGGAGATCTGAGAATGGACAGACTGCCTCCTCAAGTGGGTCTCTGACCCCCGAGTAGCCTAACTGGGAGGCACCCTCCATTAAGGGCAGACTGACACCTCACCCAGCCAGGTACTCCTCTGAGACAAAACTTCCAGAGGAACGATCAGGCAGCAACATTTGCTGTTCACCAATATCTGCTGTTCTGCAGCCTCTGCTGCTGATACCCAGGCAAAAAGAGTCTGGAGTGGACCATCGGCAAACTCCAACAGACCTACAGCTGAGGGTCTTGACTGTTAGAAGGAAAACAAACTAACAAAAAGGGCATCCACACCAAAACCCCATCTGTACAGCACCATCTTCAAAGACCAAAGGTAGATAAAACCACAAAGATGGGGAAAAAAGAGAGCAGAAAAACTGGAAACTAAAAATCAGAGGATCTCTCCTCCTCCAAAGGAACACAGCTCCTCACCAGCAATGGAACAAAGCTGGACAGAGAATGACTTTGATGAGTTGAGATAAGAAGGCTTCAGGTGATCAAACTTCTCTGATCTAAAGGAGAAAATTCGAACCCATGGCAACGAAGTTGAAAACCTTGAAAAAAAATTAGATGAATGGCTAACTAGAATAACCAATGCAGAGAATTCCTTAAGGGACCTGATGGAGCTGAAAACCATGGCACGAGAACTACGTGACAAATGCACAAGCCTCAGTAGCCAATTCGATCAACTGGAAGCAAGGTTATCAGTGATGGAAGATCAAATGAATGAAATGAAGCAAGAAGAGAAGTTTAGAGAACAAAGAATAAAAAGAAACAAACAAAGCCTCCAAGAAATATGGGACTATGTGAAAAGACCAAATCTACGTCTGATTGGTGTACCTGAAAGGAACAGGGAGAATGGAACCAAGTTGGAAAACACTCTGCAGGATATTATCCAGGAGAACTTCCCCAATCTAGCAAGGCAGGCCAACATTCAAATTGAGGAAATACAGAGAATGCCACAAAGATACTCTTCAAAAAGAGAAACTCCAAGACACATAATTGTCAGATTCACCAACGTTGAAATGAAGGAAAAAATGTTAAGGGCAGCCAGAGGGAAAGGTCGGGTTACCCACAAAGGGAAGCCCATCAGATTAATAGCGGATCTCTTGGCAGAAACTCTACAAGCCAGAAGACAGTGGGGTCCCATATTCAACATTCTTAAAGAAAAGAATTTTCAACCCAGAATTTCATATCCAGCCAAACTAAGCTTCATAAGTGAAGGAGAAATAAAATACTTTACAGACAACCAAATGCTGAGAGATTTTGTCACCACCAGGACTGCCCTAAAAGAGCTCCTGAAGGAAGCATTAAACATGGAAAGGAACGAGTATCAGCCGCTGCAAAATCATGCCAAATTGCAAGACCATCGAGGCTAGGAAGAAACTACATCAACTAATGAGCATAACAACCAGCTAACATCATAATGACAGGATCAAATTCACACATAACAGTATTAACCTTAAATGTCAATGGGCTAAATGCTCCAATTAAAAGACACAGACTGGCAAATTGGATAAAGAGTCAAGACCCATCAGTGTGCTGTATTCAGGAAACCCATCTCACATGCAGAGACACACATAGGCTCAAAATAAAGGGATGGAGGAAGATCTACCAAACAAATGGAAAACAAAAAAGGCAGGGGTTGCAATCCTAGTCTCCGATAAAACAGACTTTAAGCCTACAAAGATCAAAAGAGACAAAGAAGGCCACTACATAATGGTAAAGGGATCAATTCAACAAGAAGAGCTAACTATCCTAAATATATATACACCCAATACAGGAGCACCCAGTTTCATAAAGAAAGTCCTTAGAGACATACAAAGAGACTTAGACTCCCACACAATAATAAGGGCAGAATTTACCACTCCACTATCAACATTAGACAGATTAATGAGATAGAAAGTTAACAAGGATATCCAGGAACTGAACTCAGCTCTGCCCCAAGCAGACCTAATAGACATCTACAGAACTTTCCAGCCCAAATCAACAAAATATACATTCTTCTCAGCACCACTCCACACTTATTCCAAAATTGACCACATAGTTAGAAGTAAAGCACTCCTCAGCAAATATAAAACAACAGAAATTATAACAAACTGTCTCTCAGACCACAGTGAAATCAAACTAGGAGTCAGCATTAAGAAACTCACTCAAAACTGCTCAACTACATGGAAACTGAACAACCTGCTCCTGAATGACTACTGGGTACATAATAAAATGAAGGCAGAAACAAAGATGCTCTTTGAAACCAAGGAGAACAAAGACACAACATACCAGAATATCTGGGACACATTCAAAGCAGTGTGTAGAAGGAAATTTGTAGCACTAAATGCCCACAACAGAAAGCAGGAAAGATCTAAAATTGACACAGTACCATCACAATTAAAAGAACTAGAGAAGCAAGAGCAAACACATTCAAAAGCTAGTAGAAGGCAAGAAATAACTAAGATCAGAGCAGTACTGAAGGAAATAGAGACACAAAAAACCCTTCAAAAAATCAATGAATCCAGGAGCTGGTTTTGTGAAAAGATCAACAAAATTCATAGACCACTAGCAAAACTAATAAAGAAGAAAAGAGAGAAGAATCAAATAGACACAATAAAAAATGATAAAGAGGATATCACCACTGATCCCACAGAAATAAAAACTACCATCAGAGAATACTATAAACACCTCCACCCAAATAAACTAGAAAATCTAGAGGAAATGGATAAATTCCTTGACACATACACCCTCTCAAGACTAAAATAAGAAGAAGTAGAACCTCAGAATAGACCAATAACAGGTTCTGAAATTAGGGCAATAATAAATAGCTTACCAACCAAAAAAAGTCCAGGACCAGATGGATTCACAGCCGAATTCTACCACAGGTACAAGGATGAGCTGATACCATTCCTTCTGAAACTATTCCAATCAATGGAAAAAGAGGGAATTCTCCCAAACTCATTTTATGAGGCCAGCATCATCCTGATACCAAAGCCTGGCAGGGACACACACACAAAAAAAGAGAATTTTAGACCAATATCCCTGATGAACATCGATGCAAAAATCCTCAATAAAATACTGGCAAACTGAATCCAGCAGCACATCAAAAAGCTTATCCACCATGATCAAGTGGTCTTCATCCCTGGGATGCAAAGCTGGTTCAACATATGCAAATCAATAAATGTAATCCAGCACATAAAGAGAACCAAAGACAAAAACCACATGATTATCTCAATAGATCCAGAAAACGCCTTTGACAAAATTTAACAACCCTTCATGCTAAAAACTCTCAATAAATTAGGTATTGATGGGACGTATCTCAAAAGAACAAGAGCTATCTATGACAAACCCACAGCCAATATCATACTGAATGGAAAAAAACTGGAAACATTCCCTTTGAAAACTGGCACAAGACAGGGATGCCCTCTCTCACCACTCCTATTCAACATAGTGTTGGAAGTTCTGGCCAGGGCAATTAGGCAGGAGAAGGAAATAAAGGGTATTCAATTAGGAAAAGAGGAAGTCAAACTGTCCCTGTTTCCAGATGACATGATTGTATATTTAGAAAACCCCACTGTTTCAGCCCAAAATCTCCTTAAGCTAATAGGCAGCTTCAGGAAAGTCTCAGGATACAAAATCAACGTACAAAAACCACAAGCATTCTTATACATCAACAACAAACAGACAGCCAAATCATGAGTGAATTCCCCTTCACAATTGCTTCAAAGAGAATAAAATACCTAGGAATCCAACTTACAAGGGATGTGAAGGACCTCTTCAAGGAGAACTACAAACCACTCCTCAATGAAATAAAAGAGGATACAAACAAATGGACGAATATTTCATGCTCATGGGTAGGAAGAATCAATATCGTGAAAATGGCCATACTGCCCAAGTTAATTTATAGATTCAATGCCATCCCCATCAAGCTACCAATGACTTTCTTCACAGAATTGGGAAAAACTACTTTAAAGTTCATATGGAACCAAAAAATAGCCCACATTGCCAAGTCAATCCTAAACCATAAGAACAAAGCTGGAGGCATCATGCTACCTGACTTCAAACTATGCTACAGGCTACGTAACCAAAACAGCATGGTACTGGTACCAAAACAGAGATATAGACCAATAGAACAGAACAGAGCCCTCAGAAATAATGCTGCTTATCTACAACTATCTGATCTTTGACAAACCTGACAAAAACAAGAAATGGGGAAAGGATTCCCTATTTAGTAAATGTTGCTGGGAAAACTGGCTAGCCATAGGTAGAAAGCTGAAACTGGATCCCTTCCTTACACCTTATACGAAAATTAATTCAAGATGGATTAAAGACTTACATGTTAGACCTAAAACCATAAAAACCCTAGAAGAAAACCTAGGCAATACCATTCAGGACGTAGGCATGGGCAAGGACTTCATGTCTAAAACACCAAAAGCAATGGCAACAAAAGACAAAATTGACAAATGGGATCTAACTAAACTAAAGAGCTTCTGCACAGGAAAAGAAACTTCCATCAGAGTGAACTGGCAATCTACAGAATGGCAGACAATTTTTGCAATCTACTCACCTGACAAAGGGCTAATATCCACAATCTACAATGAACTCCAACAAATTTACAAGAAAAAAACAACCCCATCAAAAAGTGGGCGAAGGATATGAACAGATACTTCTCAAAAGAATACTTTTATACAGCCAAAAGACACATGAAAAAATGCTCATCATTACTGGCCATCAGAGAAATGCCAATCAAAACCACAATGAGATACCATCTCACACCAGTTAGAATGGCGATGATTAAAATGCCAGGAAACAACAGGTGCTGGAGAGGATGTGGAGAAATAGGAACACTTTTACACTGTTGGTGGGACTGGAAACTAGTTCAACCATTGTGGAAGTCAGTGTGGCGATTCCTCAGGGATCTAGAACTAGAAATACCATTTGACCCAGCCATCCCATTACTGGGTATATACCCAAAGGATTATAAATCATGCTACTATAAAGACACATGCACACATATGTTTATTGCGGCACTATTCACAATAGCAAAGACTTGGAACCAAACCAAATGTCCAACAATGATAGACTGGATTAAGATAATGTGGCACATATGCACCATGGAATACTATGCAGCAATAAAAAATGATGAGTTCATGTCCTTTGTAGGGACATGGATGATGCTGGAAACCATCATTCTCAGCAAACTATCACAAGGACAAAAAGCTAAATACCACATGTTGTCACTCATAGGTGGGAATTGAACAATGAGAACACATGGACACAGGAAAGGGAACATCACACACCGGGGCCTGTTGTGGGGTGGAGGGAGGGGGGAGGGATATCATTAGGAGATATACCTAATGTTAAATGACGAGTTAATGGGTGCAGCACACCAACATGGCACATGTATACATATGTAACTAACCTGCACATTGCGCACATGTACCCTAAAACTTAAAGTATGATTAAAAAAAAAAAAAAAGAAATATTCCAGACGGAGGCTGCTCCTTCAGCCTGGGTCATGAGATAAAGTCCACGAAGACACAGTTTACCTGCAGTGAACACAAATGTGAGTGAGCAAGAAATAAACTTTTTTGCTTTAAAGCAGAAAAAAAAAAAGACCAGTTATCTATAGCATTTTCAAAAGGGTTTTGTTAGTCAAATCGAAGAACTATAAGGTGATTTTTCCAAAATCTTATGAGACTCCAAAGAAATGTTCGAACTCTTGGGGTTTAGTGACATATGAAGCTCTAATATGTATTAATTTGTTGGGAGCCCATCACAATAATCTAGGGGGAGATAGTCTGTACCAAAATCATAACAATGGCCTGATCAAATTTGCATTTTTCAAATTTAGTTAAGGATTTGAATTGCCATGAGTGTGCTGAGCCTAGTCAGTCCCTTAGAATAAATAAAGGAAGATATTTCAGCAATTAAGTACATAAATTTCATAGTCAAACCGAAAAGTTTTCTTGTATTACACAGTGTAAGGTGTGGCACACTAAGCTGAGGTATATACCAGTTTTCTGATTTGTAAAATGGAAACAATAATAGTACTGATATTATATGACAGAGAAATGGTTTTGTACAACCTCAGGACTCAGTGCCCTGAGTCACAGCCACTCCAGCTACAGTTATGGCTGAAAGGGACCAAGGTACAGCTCAGCCCATTGCTTCAGAGCACGCAAGCCCCAAGCCTTGGTAACCACCATTTGGTGTTGTGCCTGCAGGTGCACAGAAGACAAGGGTTGAGCTTTGGGAGCCTCTGCCTAGATTTCAGAGGATGTATGGAAATGCTCAGATGTCCAGGCGGAAGTCTGCTGCAAGGGGAGAACCCTCATGGAGAACCTCTGCTAGGACAGTGTGGAAGGGAAATGTGGAGTTGGAGAGACTCCACAGGTAGGGCACTGCCTAGTGGAGCTGTGAGAAGAGGGCTGGAAAAGTAGATCCACTGACAGCTTTCACCATGCTCCTGGAAAAGCTGCAGGTACTCAACACCAGCCCATGAAAGCAGCCACAGGGGCTATACCCTGCAGAGCCATAGAAGCAGAGCTGCCCAAGGCTGTAAGAGCCCACTCCTTGCATCAACATACCCTGGATGTGAGACATGGAATCAAAGGAGATTTTGGAGCTTTAAGATTTAATGCCTGCCCAGCCAGGTTTCAGACTTGCAAGGGGCGTATGGCCCCTTTGTTTTGGCCAATTTTTCCCATTTGCAATGGGAACATTTACCCAATGCCTGTACCTTTATTGTATTTTGGAAGTAACTAACTTGTTTTTGATTTTGCATGCTCATAGGTGGAAGGAACTTGCCTTGTCTTAGATGAGACTTTGAACTTGAACTTTAGAGTTAATGCTGGAATTTGTTAAGATTTTGGGGAACGTTGAGAACCCATGATTGATTTTGAAATGTGAAAAAGACGTGAGATTTGGGAGTGGCTAGGGGCAGAATGACATGGTTTGGCTCTGTGTCCCCACCCAAAGCTCATCTCGAATTTTAATCCCCATGTATCAAGGAAAGAACCTGGTGGGATGTGATTAGATCATGGGTATGATTTCCCCCATGCTCTTCTTATGATAGTGAGTTCTCACGAGATCTAAGGATTTAAAATGGGCGCTTTTCCCTTCGTTCTCTCTCTCTCCTGCCACCTCGTAAGGATGCCTTGCTTCTTCTTTGCCTTCTGCCCTGATTGTAAGATTTATGAGGCCTTCCCAGCCACGTAGAACTGTGAGTCAAGCCTCTTTTGTTTATAAATTACCTGTATTAGTTTGTATCTTTATAGCTGTGTGAAAATGGACTAATATAAGTACCAATGTATTAAATTTGTTGTAGGGATATATATATATATATACATATATATATATATATATGTATATATATATATCCATATATATATGTATATATCCATATATATATATTAAATTTGTTGTAGATATATATATATATGATGCATATATAACTCAACATAGTTTCTGGCACATGGTAACCACCCAGTAAATGGTAATTAGTATTATTATCATTTAAATGACTATCTCTTTATTAGGTCACAAAATATGTAAGGCTTAAATGCACATGTAGAACATTATAGAGACCACATGTCATAAATCTATGTCGACAGTGCCTGTATCTGATTTAGGACACCCTCTTAAAAGTCCACAGATAACACTGTTAGCCCCAAAAGGACCCACTTTGTAAAGTTTGCAGTACTAAAAAGTTGGTTGAGCAAGTCAAAAGCAGTGATTATACTTCAGGCCTGGTAGAAATTACGGAGCAGGACTGCCGTGTTCTTTATTATGAAAATTAGAGGTGCCGAGGTAAAAGGAGTAGAATAATGAAAGAAATCATGGCATGGGCTGAATACAGGGAAACCCCAAAGGATTTTTTAATGGTCTATCTGAAGTCCTCAAGTTTTTTTCTAGCTTGAGATCTTCTGTAATCTGAGCTTTCTTTCCTGCATAACCAATTTATTCTTCCCTAGTGGTTCCTTCCCACCAGTACACAAACAAGAAAAAAAAATGAACCCTCTCAAGACCCAGCACACTTTCTGTTACTGCCCAAATTTTCTGCTCATTATCACAGGAAAATTTCTTCAAAGTATTGTCTAAAGTCACTGTCTCCTACTTTCTTACCTCTGTTTCTAAACTTAACCCACTCGAACTGGGCTTATGTTTCCAAAATTCTACTAAAATTACTCAAAATCACTAATGGCATCCATAGTACTAATGGGTAGAAACCTCTGGTCTTCTATATGGTTAATCTCTATTCTTTTTCCTGAAGTATTTTGTTCTCATCTTCTTGGCACCATGTTCACCTGGTCTTCTCCTAATTCCCTTGCATCTCCTTTTCATTTTTCTTTACTAGTTTCTCTTTCTTTGCTCCATGTCTAAATGTCGGTATGTCCTCAGGTATGGTCCCAGGATACTTCTCTTGTTTATTCACATTCTCTTCCCAGAAAACCTTATCCAATCCTTTGGCTTTATATAGACCAACTATATAAGGGTGAGTTGTATATTTTAACTATATTTCTAAATACAGACTGGTATATTCAACTACTTAATTGACCTCACCACTTGCACCTTCAATAGCCATCTCAAACTCAATGTTTCCAACACAGAACTCTTGTTCCCCCCACCAAACACACAAAACTTGCCCCTCCTCAAGTTTTACCCATGTCAGGAAATAAGGCAAAAAAGGAGTCATCCTTGATTCTTTACTTTTCATATGGGTTACATCTGATTCATAAGATTTTGCTATAAATTAATCCTTGAAGACATATCCCAAATCCAACTACTTCCCTCTATATCCACTGCTAACACTTTACAAAAATTATTTTTCTTACCTAGATTACCACAACAGCCTTCTCATATGTCTCCCTGCATATATTCTTGCCCCACTATTCTCCAAGAGCTGTCAGTCATTCTTTTAAAATATAACTTGGATCATTTAATTTTTTATTTAAAGATGTCCAATAGCTTAATACTATTCTCAGAATAACATTAAACATTTTAATACAATTAACTAGACCCTACATAATCTGTCCCTACCCATTTCATCTCATGTCACTCTCTCTTTATCACTATGCTTCCTCCATACTGGCCTCTCTGTCCCACTTACATGTGACACTCACTGTAGTTGTTCCCTCTGTCTGTAAAGGTACCTCCGCTAGATTTCACTTAGCTGAGTTTTCTTGTCATTTGGATCTCAGCTTAATGTCAACTAGGTACTCTATATCATATCATCTTGTTTTCTTTAACCTTAACGTTGATCATTAACATTTTTTCCTTGTTTATTATCAGTGTGCTCCCATAACAAACTAGAATTTACACTATGCAAGAATAAGGACGGTGTAAATCTTGTTCAACATTGTATTCCCTACCACTAGAACAGTGTCTAGCACTTAGTAACTGCCATAAAGGCATAATTTTGATATCTTTATTATTATATCTCCATGGCCTAGAATGGTGCCTGGCATATGTAAGTATACAATAACTATTTCTTTGGAAAATAAATACAAAGTAGGAATGCAATAAATATTTGTTGAATGGATTCCTATCTACCTAGGTTAAGTTCTCATTCAGACCAATTATTTGTCTAGGGAACAACAATGCACAAAGTACAAGCATTACAAATGTTCACAAGGTCCGAAGAGAAAGTAATCCACCGGACTTCATTCATTCTTTGCTTTTATTATTTGTCCTCTGCTGGTTAGAAACACAGGTTGTATTCTCTTTCTAGTAATGCTAGAAGCAAGCCTTGTCATTCAGCTATTACCAGCTAAGGTATACACAACATCTTCAACCCATTCCCAGACACTATCATTGACCATTTCAAAAGGATAAGTTTATGTTTTTCCTGGAAGTATTAAAAATTACAGAACGTGTCCAGTGGTAAAGAGAATACCACTGCCCATCAACATGCTTATAAATATACCAATTTTCCCTTCTGGGTAAAGATGAAGGAGTAAATACATTTACCTTCATCTCCTTCCAAAAATCCAGTTAAATAATAGAATGAGACATTTTTCATAAGACAGGAGATTTTGAGAGATTTATGTGGAGAATTTGACTCATCCATAAAGAAAGATGTTAGGTACTGACATTGAGTATTTCCTTTTTTTTTTCTTTTTTTTTCAGTTTACTTTTATTTTTATTTTTTTATTATACTTTAAGCTTTAGGGTACATGTGCACAACGTGCAGGTTTGTTACACATGTATACCTGTGCCATGTTGGTGTGCTGCACCCATTAACTCGTCATTTAGCATTAGGTATATCTCCTAATGATATCCCTCCCCCCTCCCCCCACTCCACAACAGGCCCTGGTGTGTGATGTTCCCCTTCCTGTGTCCATGTGTTCTCATTGTTCAATTCCCACCTATGAGTGACAACATGTGGTGTTTTGTTTTTTGTCCTTCGATAGTTTGCTGAGAATGATGGTTTCCAGCATCATCCATGTCCCTACAAAGGACATGAACTCATCGTTTTTTATGGCTACATAGTATTCCATGGTGTATATGTGCCACATTTTCTTAATCCAGTCTTTCATTGTTGGACTTTTGGGTTGGTTCTAAGTCTTTGCTATTGTGAATAGTGCCACAATAAACATATGTGTGCATGTGTCTTTATAGCAGCATGATTTATAATCCTTTGGGTATATACCCAGTAATGGGATGGCTGGGTCAAATGGTATTTCTAGTTCTAGATCCCTGAGGAATCCCCACACTGACTTCCACAAGGGTTGAACTAGTTTCCAGTCCCACCAACAGTGTAAAAGTGTTCCTGTTTCTCCACATCCTCTCCAGCACCTGTTGTTTCCTGACTTTTTAATGATCGCCATTCTAACCGATGTGAGATGGTATCTCATTGTGGTTTTGATTGGCATTTCTCTGATGGCCAGTAATGATGAGCATTTTTTCATGTGTCTTTTGGCTACATAAATGTCTTCTTTTGAGAAGTATCTGTTCATATCCTTTGCCCACTTTTTGATGGGGTTCTTTGTTTTTTCTTGTAAATTTGTTGGAGTTCATTGTAGATTGTGGATATTAGCCCTTTGTCAGATGAGTAGATTGCAAAAATTTTCTGCCATTCTGTTGGTTGCCTGTTCACTCTGTTGGTAGTTTCTTTTGCTGTGCAGAAGCTCTTTAGTTGAATTAGATCCGATTTGTCAATTTTGGCTTTTGTTGCCATTGCTTTTGGTGTTTTAGACATGAAGTCCTTGCCCGTGCCTATGTCCTCAATGGTATTGCCTAGGTTTTCTTCTAGGATTTTTATGGTTTTAGGTCTAACATGTAAGTCTTTAATCCATCTTGAATTAATTTTTGTATAAGGTGTAAGGAAGGGATCCGGTTTCAGCTTTCTACATATGGCTAGCCAGTTTTCCCAGCACCATTTATTAAATAGGAAATTCTTTCCCCATTTCTTGTTTTTGTCAGGTTTGTCAAAGATCAGATAGTTGTAGATATTTAGCCCATTTACATTTAAGGTTAACATTGTTATGTGTGAATTTGATCCTGTCATTATGATGTTAGCTGATTATTTTGCTCATTAGTTGAGGCAGTTTCTTCCTAGGCTTGATGGTCTTTACAATTTAGCATGTTTTTGCAGTGGCTGATACTGGTTGTTCCTTTCCGTGTTTAGTGCTTCCTTCAGGAGCTCTTTTAGGGCAGGCCTGTTGGTGGCAAAATCTCCCAGCATTTGCTTGTCTGTAAAGTATTTTATTTCTCCTTCACTTATGAAGCTTAGTTTGGCTGGATATGAAATTCTGGGTTGAAAATTCTTTTCTTTAAGAATGTTGAATATGGGACCCCACTCTCTTCTGGCTTGTAGAGTTTCTGCTGAGACATCAGCTGTTAGTCTGATGGGCTTCCCTTTGTGGGTAACCCGACCTTTCTCTCTGGCTGCCCTTAACATTTTTTCCTTCATTTCAACTTTGGTGAATCTGAAAATTATGTGTCTTGGAGTTGCTCTTCTCAAGGAGTATCTTTGTGGCATTCTCTGTCTTTCCTCAATTTGAATGTTGGCCTGCCTTGCAAGATTGGGGAAGTTCTCCTGGATAATATCCTGCAGAGTGTTTTCCAATTTGGTTCCATTCTCCCCATCACTTTCAGGTACACCAATCAGACGTAGATTTGGTCTTTTCACATAGTTCCATATTTCTTGGAGGCTTTGTTCATTTCTTCTTATTCTTTTTTCTCTAAACTTCTCTTCTTGCTTCATTTCATTGATTTGATCTTCCATCACTGATACCCTTTCTTCCAGTTGATCAAATTGGCTACTGAGGCTTGTGCATTTGTCTCATAGTTCTTGTGCCTTGGTTTTCAGCTCCATCAGGTCCTTTAAGGACTTCTCTGCATTGGTTATTCTAGTTAGCCATTCGTCTATTGTTTTTTGAAGGTTTTTAACTTCTCTGCCATGGGTTCAAACTTCCTCCTTTAGCTTGGAGGAGTTTGATCATCTGAAGCCTTCTTTTCTCAACTCATCAAAGTCATTCTCTGTCCAGCTTTGTTCTGTTGCTGGTGAGGAGCTGCATTCCTTTGGAGGGGGACAGGTGCTCTGATTTTTAGAGTTTCCAGTTTTTCTGCTCTGTTTTTTCCCCATCTTTGTGGTTTTATCTACCTTTGGTCTTTGATGATGGTGCTGTACAGATGGTGTTTTGGTGTGGATTTCTTGTTTGTTAGTTTTCCTTCTAACAGTCAGGACCCTTAGCTGCAGGTCTGTTGGAGTTTGCCAGAGGTCCACTCCAGACCCTGTTTGCCTGGCTATCAGCAGTGGAGGCTGTCGAGCAGCAGACATTGGTGAACAGCAAATGTTGTTGCCTGATCGTTCCTCTGGAGGTTTTGTCTCAGAGGAGTACCTGGCCCTGTGAGGTGTCAGTCTGCCCCTATTGGGGGATGCCTCCCAGTTAGGCTACTCAGGCTCAGGGACCCAGTTGAGGAGGCAATCTGTCCATTCTCAGATCTCAAGCTGCATGCTGGGAGAAACACTACTCTCTTCAAAGCTGTCAGACACTGACATTTAAGTCTGCAGAGGTTTCTGTTGCCTTTTGTTTGGCTATGCCCTGCCCCTAGAGGTGGAGTCTACAGAGGCAGTCAGGCCTCCTTGAGCTGCAGTGGACTCCACCCAGTTCAAGCTTCCAGTCCTCTGTTTACCTCCTCAAGCCTCGGCAATGACAGGTGCCCCTCCCCCAGCCTCGCTGCCATCTTGCAGTTTGATCTCAGACAGCTGTGCTAGTAATGAGTGAGGCTCCTTGGGAGTAGGACCCTCGAGCCATGCACGGGATATAATCTCCTGGTGTGCTGTTTGCTAAGACCATTGGAAAAGTGCAGTATTAGGGTGGGAGTGACCCTATTTTCTGGGTGCCATCTGTCACCTCTTTCTTTGACTAGGAAAGGGAATTCCCTGACCCCTTATGCTTCCTGGGTGAGGTAATGCCTCACCCTGCTTTGGCTCATGCTCAGTGCACTGCACCCACTGTCCTGCACCTGCTGTCGGACACTCCCCTGTGAGATGAACCCAGTACCTCAGTTGGAAATGCAGAAATCACCCATCTTCTGTGTCACTCATGCTGGGAGCTGTAGACTGGAGCTGTTTCTCTTTGGCCATCTTGGCTCCACCTCCAAGTGTCAGCATTGGGTATTTCTTAAGGAAAAGCTCAAGTTAGATTATTCTATGATGAAACCCACAGATTTCAAGCCTCAAAAAACTGCACAAAGAAAAAATCTTTCCACAGAAAGAATCTGTAAACTCAAAGATAGGTCATTTGAAGTTATCCAATAAGAAGAGGAATGAAAAAGAAAGAAGGAGGCCTATAGAAATGATGGGCACCATCAAGAGAACTAATTTTTAGATTATAGGAGTGATTGACAGAAAAGATAGGGAAAGAGGCAAAAGCTTATTGAAAGAAATAATGGCTAAAATCTTCCCAAATCTGAGAAGTGACATCCAGGTACATACATGAATCTGAAAGTGTATAAATAAGTGCAACCCAAAGAGGACTTTGTTGAGACACATTATTATCAAATTATAATAAAAGAAACATATTATTTTGTTTTGTTTTTGTCTTTCCATGTTTTAGCTTAGGTTCAGGGGGTTCATGTGCAGGTTTGTTGCATAGGTAAACTGCCTGTCATGGGGGTTTGGTGTACAGATTATTCTGTCATCCAGGTAATGGGCATAGTACCTGTTTGGTAATTTTTTGATCCTCACCCTCCTTCCACCCTCCATCCCTAAGTAGGTACTGGTGTCTATTGTTTCCTTTCTTGTGTCCCTGTGTACCCAATGGTTAGCTCCCAATGTCTCTCTCTTACAAGTAAGAACATGCAGTATTTGGTTTTTCATTCCTACATTAATTCACTTTGGATAATGACTTCCAGCTGCATTCATGTTGCTGCAAATGGCATTATTTCATTCTTTTTATGGTTGCATAATATTCTGTGGTGTAAATGTATCACGTTTTCTTTGTTGAGTCTACTATTAATGGGAATCCAGGTTGATTCCATGTCTTTCTTATTGTTAATAGTGCTGCAGTGAACATATGTGTGCATGTGTCTTTATGATAAAATGATTTATATTCTTTAGAGTACATAACCAGTAATGGGATTTCTGAGTCAAATGGTACTTCTAAATTATTTTAGAAATCACCAAACTGTTTTCCACAGTGGTTGGACTAATTTACATTCCAAGCAGCAGTGCATATGCATTCAAAGTGAATATTTTGAAAGGAGCAAGAGAAAAGACACTAGTCACATACAAGAAAATCCCTGTAAGACTACTAGAAAATTTCTCAGCAGAAACACTACAGATCAGGAGAGAGTAGAATAATATGTTAAAAGTGTTGAAAGAGAAAAGAAAAGCTTGCAAACCAATAATACATAACCTGTTAAATCTGCCTTACAAAATGAGGGAGATATAAAGACTTTCCCAGACAAACAAAACCTGAGGGAGTTCATCACCAGTAGAGCTGCCTTACATAATATGCTAAAAAGAGTTATTCAAGCTAAATTGAAACAACACCAACTAGTTATATAAAAACATATGATAGTATGAAACACACTGATAAAGATAAGTATACACTCAAATTCAGAATTCCCTATACCTAATGGTGGTGTGAAAATCACTATCAATGCTACTGCATAGGTTAAATGACAAAAGTATTAAAAATAATTTTATTTACAATAACTTGACAAAGGATGCATAATATGAAAAATGTAAACTCCTGATGTAACATTGTTACTGATGTTGTATGTTATGTTATTTATGATATCAATAACATAAAATGTGAAGGGAGACATAAAAGTATTGAGTTTTTGTATGTGATAAAAATTAAGCTGTTAAAATCCTAAGCAGGCAATCAAAAAGCAAAAAAAAATAAGTTAAGCTGTTATCAGCATAAAGTAGATTGTTACAACTATAAGATCCTTTATGTAAGCTTCATGGTAACCAATATTCATAAACCTATAGTGATACATAAAAGATAAATAAGTCAATGTATAGCAGCAAAATAAAAGGTATCAAATCACAAAGGAAGACAGCAAGAGAGGGGAAAAAACTATAAAACAACAAAATAGCAATAGTAAGTCCTTACCTATCAATAAGCACTTCAAATGTATATAAATTAAGTTCTCCAATATAAAGATTTATAGTGGCTTGAAAGATATTTAAAAGCAAAAAGCAGGACCCAACTCTATGCTGACTACAAGAGACTTGCTTCACTTGTAAGAATACAAATAGGCTGAAATTTAAGAGATGGAAAAGGATATGCTATGCAAATGGTAATCAAAGAGAGGAGAGATAGCTATACCTCCATCAGACTAAATAGACTTTAAGACAAAAATTGTCACAAGAGGCAAATATGCACCTAACATCAGAGCACTGAAATATATTAAGCAAATATTAATAGATCTGAAGGGGGAGCTGGACTGCAGTACAATAATAGTAGGAGGCTTCAATACTTCACTTTTAGCAATGAACAGATCTTCAAGAAAAAAAATCAATGAGGAAACAGTAAAATTGAACATTGTAGACCAAATACACCCAACATATAGAAAATATTCCATCCAACAACAACAGAAGACATATTATTTGCGGCACACACAGAACATTCTCAGGATTGATTATATGTTGGGACACAAAACAAGTCCTAACAAATCTAAAGAGACTGAAATTATATCAAGTATCCTTTATGACTAAAATGATATAAAACTAGAAATCGATGAGAAGCAAAAAAATCACAAAAATGTAAAAATTCAACATGTTCCTGAACAACCAATGAGTCAAATAAATCAAAAGTAGAATTAAAAAATATCCTGAGACAAACAAAAATAGAAACATACCAAATCAAAACTTATGGGATGTAGCATAAGCAGTTATAAGATGAAAGTTTATAGAAATACATGCTGACATTAAGAAAAATAAAGAACTCAAAAATAACTTACTCCTCAAAGAGCTAAAAAAAGAACAAACTAGGCCCAAACATAACAAAATGAAGAAAACAACAAAGATCAGAACAGAAGCAAGTTAAAATAATAACTAGAGAAACAATAGAAAAGATCAATAAACTAAGAGTTGATTTTTGGAAAACATAAAATTAGCAAACTTTAGCTACAGTAAAAAAAAGAGATAAGACTCAACATAAAATTAACAAACTTTAGCTAGAATTTAAAAAGAGATAAGACTCAAATAAATAAAATGAAAATGAAGAGGAGATATTATAATTGATACCACAAAAATAAAAAGAAACATTAGAGTCTAGTATGAATAATTATATGCCAATATATCAAAGAACCTAGAAGAAATGGATAAATTACTAGAAACAGACAATTCACCAAGACTGAATCATGAAGAATTAAATAATCTGAAAAAACAAATGACAGGTAAGATTAAAACAGTACTCAAAAATATCCCAACAAAGTAAACCCAAGACAAAATCACTTCACTGGTTAATTTTACCAAACATTTAAGGAATACCTAATACTAATATTGAGTTCTCTCAAACTCTCCCAAATAAAGTGAAGAGGTAGAAACACTTCCAAACTCATCTTACAAGGCCAATATTACCTCCATACCAAAAATAGAAAATAACACTATAAAAAATAGCAAGCCAATATCCCTGACAAACATAAACATAAAAGTCCTTAAAAAAAAAACATAGCAAATGACATTCAGCAGCATATTAAAAGGATTATAAAACATACTCAAGTAAGATTTGTTCCTGGGATTGAAAATGACTTGACAGATTCAAATTTATAAATGTGATACACCATATTAACAGAATAAGGATAAAAATTAGGCTGGGCACAGTGGCTGACACTTGTAATATCAGCATTTTTGGAGGCTGAGGTGGGTGGATTGCTTAAGTTCAGGGGTTCAAGACCACCATGGGCAACATGGTGAAACCTCATCTCTACTAAAAATACAAAAATTAGCCAGGCTTGGTGGCATGTATCTGTAGTTGAAACTACTTAGGAGGCTGAGATGGGAGAATTGCTTGAGCCCAGGAGGCAGAGGTTACAGAAAGCCAAGATCACACAGCTGCACTCCAACCTCAGCAACAGAGTGAGACTCCATCTCAAAAACAAACAAACAAAAAAAGAATAAGGGTAAAAGTCACATAATCATCTCAATAAATGCAGAAAAAAATGACAAAATAAGACATCCTTTCATAATAAAACAAAACTCAACAAAATAGGTATAGAAGCAATGTACCTCAGTAGATAAAGGCCATATATCAAAGCCCAAAGGTAAAATTATACTCAAAAATTTAAAACTGAAATAATTTCCTCTAAGATCAGGGGCAAGATAAAGAGGCCTACTCTGGTCACTTGTATTCAACACAATATTAAAAGTGCTGTCCAGCGCAATTAGTCAAGAAAAATAAATAAATGGCATCCAAAACTGACAGAAAGAAGTAAAGGTGTCTGTTTGCAGATGCTGTGATATTACATGTAGAAAGTGCAACAGACTCCACCAAACTCACTCAGTAAACTCAAAAACAGACCCACCAACTCAGTAAAGTTGTGGGATACAAAATTAACATACAAAAATAAGGTGTGTTCATATACACTAACAAGCATCCAAAAAAGAAATTAAGAAAATAATCTTATTTCCAAAAACATCCAAAATAATAAAATATTTAGAAATAAACCAAGGAAGTAAAAGACCTGTACAATGAAAACTATAATTGATAAAATTGAAGGCACAAATGAATAAAAAGATATCTCATGTTCATAGTTCAGAAAAATCAATAGTATCAAAAATCCATACTTCCCAAAGCACACTACAGATTCAATGCAATTCCTATCAAAATTCCAATGGCAATTATTACAGAAGCAGAAAAATCAGTCCTAAAATTTGTATGGAATTATGATCACTACCAAGTAGCTAAAGCAATCTTGAGCAAGAAGGAAAAAGGCTGGAGGCATCATAGTTCTGATTTCAAACTATATTACAAAGTTATAGTAATTGAAACAGTATGGTAGTGGTTAAAAGCACACATACAGATCAGTGAAACAGAATAAGAAGACCAGAAATAAATTGACTCATATGTGGTCAAATAATCTTTGAAAAAGATGCCAAAAATATAGAGTGGATAAAAGATAGTCTCTTCAATAAATTGTACTGAGAAAACTGAATATCCACTTGCAATAGAATAAAACTGGACATTTATCTTACTCTATACACAAAAATTAACTCAAACTGGATTAAAAGTTTAAACCTAAGACCTAAAACTGTAAAAACTCCTTGAAAAAAAATCATAGGGAAAAATCTCCTTGACATTGCTCTTAGAAATAATTTTTTAATATAACATCAGAAGCAAAACAAACAAAAGTAAAAATAGACAAGTGAAACTACATCAAACCAAAAAGTTTCTGCTCAACAAAAGAAACAACCAACAAAATGAAAAAGGCAACCTATGGAATGAAAGAAAATATTTGCAAGCCATATATACAGTAAGGAGTTAATATTCAAAATACGTCAGGAACTCAGGCAATTAAATAGCATAATAAATAAATAACCCAATTTTAAAATAAGCAAAAGACCCAAACAGGCATTTTTCCAAAATAGTCATAAATATGACCAACAGGTATAAGAAAAGATGCTCAGCATCATTAATCATCAGGGAATTGCAAATCAAAATCCACAATGAGATATCACCTCTTAACCTGTTAGAATGGCTGTTATCAAAAAAATGTCCAAGGATAACAGTTGGCAAGAATGTAGAGAAAAGGGGACCCTTATGCACTGTTGATGAGCGTGTAAAGAGGTACAGCCATTATGGAAAGCAGTACAGAGCTTCCCAAAAAAAATTATAAATAGAATTACCTTATAATCCAGGAATCCCACTTTCAGGTATACATTAAAAGGAAATAAGATCACTATCTTGGAGAGATGTCTGCACTCCCATGTTTATTGCAGGATTATTTATAATAACCAAGATGTGAAAGAACCTATGTGTCTGTCAACAGATAAACAGATAAAGAAAATGTGTTATATAAATACAATAGGATATTATTCAGCCTTTAAAAAGAATGAAATTCTGCTATTTGCAACAAAAAATTGAAACTGGAGACGTTTATGCTAAGTGAAATAAGCCAGATACAGAAACATACATACTGCATGGTCTCACTTACATGTGAAATCTAATGAAAATCAAATATATGAAAGCAGAGGGTAGGATGCTGGTTGTCAGCAGGTAGGAGTGAGGTTGGGTGATGAGGAGATGTTGCTTAAACGGTGCAAAGTTTCAGTTAGGATGAATAAGTTCAGGCGATCTTTATTACAGCATGGGGACTATAGTTAATAATAATGCGTTGTACACTTGATAATTGTTAAGAGAGTAGATCTTAAATGTTACTACAACAAAAAATAAAGATGTGAGGTGATAAAATGTTAATTAGTTTCATGTAGCAATTTCACAATGTATACATACATGAGAACATTACATTTTACACCATAAATATGTACAATTTTTATTTGTCAGCTATACTTTAAGTTTTAAAATGTAAAAATTAATGATTTTTAAAATGATAACTTATCGAGGTGATGGATAATTTAATTAGATTAATGTGATTATTTCATACAATATATGCATATTAAAAATTATTTCATACATCTTAAATATATAATATCCGTGTCACTCATACCTCAATACAGCTGGAAAAATATATGAATGAAAATAAATAAATGAAATGAAGATATATAAATACATTTTACAATGTGATGGACAAAATGGGGGGCATTATATAGTGCTGGCATTTTATGGCTTAGGCTATATTGATGCTATTATATTGTGCATGTTGAATAACTAATTAGCAAGTTTGGTTGAATAAATATGTATAATACAATACACTAAATGTCACTTTCTGACTAAGTATACAAGGTAGCTTTGAAGTAAATGTAATTGAAGAAATATTCTTTTTTGTACCCAGTAGGTGTATATATTTATGGGGTATATCAGATATTTTGATACAGATATACAAAGTGTTATAATCACATGAAGGTAAATGAGGTACTTATCATCTTAAGCATTTATTTTTTGTGTTACGAACAATCTAATTTCACTCTTTTATTTATTTTAAAATATACAGGAATAAAGAAGTGGACAGTGGCCCAGATGGCTGACTAGAAGAATCTTAGGCTTGTGGCTCTCACAGAGAGGAATGAAAAGGGAAAGTAAACACAGCTCCTTCAACAGAAACATCCAGGTACTTACATTGGTACTAATCAAGGACACAACTCGACCCATAGAGAACAGAGAAAGGCAAGGCGGAATGACAGCCCACCCAGGAGCGACATGGAGCCAAGGGAACCTCTCCCATCCCAGGAAGTGATGAGTGAATGTGCAATCTAGGAAACTACTCTTATCCCATGGATATTTGCAACCCTTGAGTCAGGAGGTTCCCTCGTGAACAAACATCTCCAGGACCTTCAGTCTGACACACAGAACTACATGGAGTATCAGCAGAGCATCTGCTCAGGCACACATGAAAACTCCAGAGCTTTAGATATTCTGGCCCTGGACTTCCAGGAAAAGGAACTGCAACACCAGCAAAGAGGGAAGTTAGACTTCTTTACACAACCCTAGGAAAGAGGCTGAATTCAAGGGGTTGAGTGCAGCAACGGTCTGTGGTACCCACTTCCATGGCACCTCACAAGATAAGACCCACTGGCTTGGAATTCCAGCCAGCCACCAGTAGCAGTGTTGCATCTTCCTGGTACAGAGCTCCCAGGGGAATGGGTGAGCCATTATCTTTATTGTTTGAGCAACTTATCCATTCCAGGCTGCAGGCTTTGGAGAGCCCAAGCTGAACAGGGGTGAAAAAGATCCCCCAGTACAGCACAACTACTCTAACAAAACGTGGCAAGACTGCTTCTTTAATTGGGTCCCCAATCTATGTCTCCTCACCAGGCAGGACCTTCCAACTGGGGCCTCAAGTTAACCCTGCCAGTGTTCTCCAGCTGACAGAGATTTCAAATTCCCTGGGACAGAGTTTCCAGAGGGAGGGGTGGGCCACCCTCTTTGCCATTTGGGTGACTTAGCAATTCCAACCTGCAGGCTTTGGAGAGCCAAAGACAATTGGGGCAGAAGTGATACCCCAGCACAGCACAGCTGCTCTATGAAAGTGTGGTCACACTGCTTCTTTAAGCAGGTCCCTGAACCAGCTCCTCCTCACTGGGCAGAACCTCCCAACCAGGGCCTCCAGCCACCCCTGCCGGTGTCATCTGGCCTACAGAAATTCAAAAACTCCCTGAGACAGAACTCCCAGTGGGAGGGGCAAGCTGCCATCTTTGGTGTTTGGGTGAGATAGCAGTTTCAGCCTTTGGGCTTTGGAGAGCCCAAATCAAACAGGCATGGAAGCAGTACCCCAGAACAGTACAGTGGCCCCATGAAAACATGGCCAGATTGCTTTTTAAGCAGATTCCTGACACCATTCCGCTTCACTGATTGGAGCCTCCAAATGAGGGTCTCTGACTACCTCCACTGGTGTTCTTCAGCTGACAGAGGTTTCAGGCCTCCCTGGGATGGAGCTCCCAAGAGGAGAGGCAGACCATCATCTTTGCTTTTGGTTGACTTAGCTGGCCCAGCCATTGGGCTTCAGAGTGTCCGTGGTGACCAGGGGCTAAAGAGGAACCCCAGCACAGCACAGCTGCTCTATGAAAATGTGACCAGACTACATTTTTAACCAAGTCCTGACTGGGTGAGACCTTACATCCAGGGTCTCCAGCCACCTCCCACCAGTGCATTCCGGCTAGCAAAAGATCTGTAACTCCCTGGACAAAACTCCCAGAGGAAGGGTAAAGTTGCCACCTTTGCTGTTTCACAGCCTTCACTGGTGATACCTCCAAGTACTGAAAAATCTGAGGCAACTAGAGACTGGAGTGGATCCCAACATACTGCAGCAACCATATGAAAAAGGGGCCAGACTGTTAAAATTACAAAAAAATAAATCCAAAGATCAGCAACCTCAAAGACTGAAGGTAGATAAGCCCACAAAGATGAGAAAGAGTCAGCGCAGAGTGTCTTCTTTCCTCCAAATGACATTATCTGTCCAGCAAAAGATCATAACTGGGCTGAGGCTGAGATGGCTAAAATAACAGAAGTAGAATTCAGAATGTAGATTGGGATGAAGTTCATTGAGCTACAGGACTATGTTGTAACCCAAAGCAAGAAAGCTAAAAATCATGATAAAACATTGCAGGAGCTGACAGACAAAATAGCCGGTATAGAGAAGAATGTAACTGACCTGATAGAGCTGAAAAATACACTAAAAGAATTACATAATGAAATCACAAATATTAATAGCAGAATAGATCAAGTGGAGGAAGAAACCTCAGAAAGTGTAGATTGAATTTCTGAAATAAGACAGGCAGATAAAAATACATAAAAAAGTATGAAAATGAATGAACAAAACCTCCAAGAAATACAGGATTATGTAAAGATACTGAATCTATGACTGATTGATGTACTTGAAAGAGATGGGGAGCATGAAAACTACTTGAAAAATATATTTTAGGATAACATCCATGACAACTTCCTCAACCTAGCTAGTGAGGCCAACACTCAAATTCAGAAAATGCAGAGAATCCCAGTAAAATACTCCACGAGAAGATCCTCCCCAAGACACATAATCATCAGATACTCCAAGATCAAAATGAAATAAAAGTGTTAACGAAAGACAGAGAGGAAGGCCAGGTAACCTACAAAGGGAGGCTTATCAGACTAACAGTGGGCCTCTCAGCTGAATCCCTGTAAGCCAGAAGAGATAGGGGGCCAATAGTCAACATCCTTAGAGAAAATAAATTCCAACCCAAAATTTTATATCTGGCCAAACTCAGCTTCATAAGTGAAGGATAAATAAAATTATTTTCAGAAAAGCAAAAGCTGAGAGAACTGGTTACCGTCAGACCTGACTTACAAGAGCTCCTGAAGTAAGCACTAAATATGGAAAGAAAAGACTGTTAGCAGCCACTGCAAAAACACAATGAAGTACACAAGACCAGTGACACTGTAAATCAATCACATAAACAAGCGTGCAAAATGACCAGCTAACATCATGATAAGATCAAATCCCCACATATCAATACTAACCTTAAATTTAAATGGACCCAGGGAAAGACAGAGTGGAAAGCTGGATAAAAAAAAAACAAGACCCATTGGTATACTGTCTTCCAGAGACTCATCTCACATACAATGACATACATAGGCTCAAAATAAAAGGATGGAGAAAAATCTACCAAGCAAGTGGAAAACAGAAAAAAGCAGGCGTTGCAATCCTAGTTTCTGGCAAAACAGACTTTAAACAAACAAAGATGAAAAGATACAAAGAAAGGCATTAAATAATGGTAAAGTGTTCAATTCAACAAGGAGAGCTAACTATCCTAATATATATCCACCCAACAGGGGAGCACTGAGATTCATAAAGCAAGTTTTTAGAGAACTTCAAAGAGACTTAGACTCCGACATAACACTAGTGAGAGACTTTAACATCCCACTGACAATATTAGACAGATCATCAAGATAGAAAATTACAAAGACATTCAGGACCTGAACTCAGCACTGGATCAAATGGACCTGAGAGATATCTACAGAACACTCCACACAAAAATAACACAATATACATTCTTCTCATCACCACATGGTCCTTACTCTAAAATAGATCCCGTGATTGGAAGTAAAGCACTCCTTAGCAAATGCAAAATAACTGAAATCATAACAGTCTCTCAGACCACAGTACAATCAAATTAGAAAAAAAAGATTTTGAATTTCTCTCTGGGTTATCTTGCATTTCTTTGAGTTTCCTCAAAACAGCTATTTTGAATTCTGTCTGAAACATCACATATCTCTATCTTTCTGGGATTGGTCCCTGATGCCTTATTTAGTTCATTTGGTGAGGTCACATTTTTTTGGACGGCCTTAAATGCTAATGGATGTTCATCAATGTCTGGATACTGAAGAATTAGGTATTTATTGTACTCTTCACAGTCTGGGTTTATTTGTATCCATCCTTATTGGGAAGGCTTTTCAGGTATTTGAAGGTACCTGGGTGTTGTGATCTAAGCTGTATCTGCTTTAGAGGGCATGCCAATCCCAGTAACACTGTGATTCTTTCAGACTCATAGAGGTGTTGCCTTGATGATCTTGCAAAAGATCCATAAGAATTCTCTGGATTACCAGGAAGAAACTCTTGTTCTCTTCTCTTACTTTCTCCCAAATGAATAGAGTCTCTCTCTGTGCTGAGCTTCCTGGAGCTGGGGAAATTGTGTCACAGCACCCCTGTTGCCACCACCATGAAACTGCACTGTGACAAACCTGAAGCCAGCACAGCACTGAGTCTCACCCAAAGCCCACTGTGTTCACTGAAGTACCCAAGGCCCTACTATCAGCAGGTAATGAAACCAGCCAGTCTTGTGGCCTTTCCTTCAGGGTAGCGAGGTCCTCCAGGAGAAACTGGGGAATACATGTTGTCTGAGAACCAGGGCCTGGAGTCAGAAACCTTAGACATCTACCTGGTGCTGTATTCTACTGCAGCTGAGCTGGCAGCAAAACCACAAGAGAAAGTTTTTCCCACTCTTCCCTCCCCTTTTCCCAGGCAGAGGAGTCTCTCCCCATGTCCACCACCACCACAGGCCTACAGGGAGAACTGAGAGTGTACTGTTGATGTTCACTTAAGGCCAAGTGGCTCTTTAGTCAGTTTGTGGTGAATGCAACCTGGCCAGAGACTTATCCTTCAAGGCAGTGGGCTCTCCTATGGCCCAGGGTAGATCCAAAAATGTCATCTGAGAGCCAAGACCTGGAGTCAGGGACCCCAACAGCCTGCTTGATGCCCTTCCTAACTATGGTTGAGCTAATACCTAAGCTATAAGACAAAGTACTCTTTATTCTTCCCTCTCCTTTTCTCAAGCAGAAGGAGTCTCTTATAGCCACCACAGTTGTGAATATACAGGGTCACACCTGAAACCAGCACATCTCAGGATCTCCCTCAAGGCCCAGGGCATGTGCTACCTGGTTATCACTGCTGATTATTCAGGGTTCAAGGGCTCTTTAGTCAGCAGGTGATGAATCCTTCCAGAACTAGGTCCTTTCCTTCAGGGCAGTGAGTTCTCTTCTGGCACAAGGTGTGTCTAGCAATGCCATCCTGGAGCTAGGGCCTGAAATGAGGGCCTCACAACTCTGCCTGGCGCCCTATCCTTCACTGTGGCTGTGTTGATATCCAAGTTTCAAAACAAAGTCTTCTTTACTCTTTTCTCTCCTTTCCTCAAGTGGAAGGAAGGAGTCTCTTTTGGAGTTCCAAGCTGTGCTGCCTGGGGTTGGGGAAGGAGTGGTAAAAGCACTTCCTTACCCACACCAGCTGGTGTCTCAATAGGTCATGTGCCCCCTAAGTCCGCTGGCTCCAAGATGAACACAGCACTCACCAGGACTTGGCAAGGAATTGCAGTCCTTGTGGCCTACACTGCCATTCAAGTTTATTTAGAACCTCAGGGTACTTTAGTCCAAGGTGGCAAGGCTGGCTCAAACTCAAGCTCTGACAACTAGGATGAGCATTTTCCTCTGACTAGGGCTGGTCTAAATGCTACCTCTGTGAGCATCAGCTGAGTTATGCCTAGGGTTGGCAGCACTGAGTTCCTATGCAAAATTCCACAATTAGTACACTCTCCCTCCCCCAAGTACACAGATTCTCTCCCCTGCCACATAATTGCTCCTGGGGGATTAACTCAAGCTCCTACCAATGGGATGAATATTTTTCCACTGGCTAGAGCTGGTCTAAATGCTACCTCCATGAACATCAACTGAGTTCTGCCTGGTGTTGGCAGCATTGAGTTCCTATGGAAAATCCCACAATTGCTGCACTCTCCCTCCCCCAAGTGCACAGATTATCCTGCCATATAGATGCTCCTGGGGGGTGTGGGATGGGTGGTGTTGGCAATTCAAGACTGTCTTTTCCACTCCTTTCAGTGCCTCTTTCAATGATATGAAGTTAAAACCAGGTACTATGATCACTCACTCCATTTTTAGTTATTATAAAGGTGGTTTTTTGTTTAGATAGTTGTCAAATTTGTTGTTTCATTGGTGGAGGCTTCTATTCAGCCATCTTGCTCCACCTCCTCAGGACTATTCTTATACAGTGTCTTCTGAAGCCCAACATTAAATAATATGTTAGTAAAATGCCTTAAAGGACTGTCTTACAGATTCCATTGGTCCCAGGTGGATTGACAAAGCAAAACTGAGGAATAGAAAGTAGTCTCATGAGCTACAAGAAAGATTTTCCTGAGATAATGCTGATCGCTTCCCTCAATGGGACAGCAACAAATTTGGCTGATCACAGACCTAGCTGAAAGCCATTTGAATTAACAGAGAATAAATAAAACGTAGCAAATGATTGGCCCCACATTCCCATCTTTATTTGAGAACCAACCATCATTCTTTCCAATATCCAAAAGAAAAACAGCTCTGATGTGGGTCAAGGAGACCTTGTTAGTAGGGATTGTAGCTTTCCATTGTAGGGGCATGAAGATTCAAAATTCTGTCTTCCTTAGGATATTATTAAGTTGGATTCTTTCTCTTTCTTCCCTCTCATATGATTTTTACAATAAAATTGGTCCAGGGTTGCTTAGAAAAAGCCCCATCAACACCACCACCTTTGAATAACCCAGCAGGACCAGAGAGAAAGGAGGCCTAGGACAGGCAGTTAAGGGAGAAGGCTTCTCATTTGATGTTTCAATCCTTGCCTCACAGTACTGACAATGGTTCAATATAGAGAAGTCTATAGTATGTTCCTGAGAAAAAGAGATGAATGAGCAAGCCACTCCACCTTTTTTATAGCCTAGGCCCATGGTTCTCAATATTGGTTACCCAAGCTAATAAAATCAGTGTCACCTGAGAACTTTGGAGATACAAATCCTCAGCCACTGCCAGACCTACTGAATCAGAACTCTGGAGGTGGCACCCAGAAATCTGTGTTTTAGCGAACTCCTCAGATAATTCTGATGCATACTCAAGTTTGAGAACCACTAGCCCAGGTAAACAATCTTTAAAGCTCAAACAGAGTCTAGCTCAGTTCCCCAGAGTAGAACAATACATCATGATTTAGAGAGTCAAAGCACTAGTTACCACTGACATGTGCATTTGACTGCAGTGTTCCCTCTGTATCTACCCCTCAGTTATTCTGCAGGATAGGATTCAAGGTTTGAGAAATTCCAATACTGGACATCTTAATTAGTGGGATTGTGGACAGTGCTATAGGCCTTATTGAAATGGGAATTTTCTCAAGCACTAATATGCAGCGTTGTATAATTATTTTAGCAGCATGCCGTTTTGGTTCCAGACACTTCTAATGGTCACTCATGGACAAGTAGGTCATTGAGTACCTAAAAGCAATTCCTCAGATTTTATTTTAGATGAAAGAATACTCCTAAGCTCACTTCTAGTGTCTGAATGTTGATGTCTCCCAAAATTCACATGTTGAAACCTAATGCTTGAGGTGATAGTATTAACAAGTGGAGCTTCGGGGAAGTAAGTCATGAGGTCTTCATCCCCATAAATGGGATTAGTGCTCTTATAAAAGAGGCTGGAGCAAACTACCTTGACCCTTCCTTCTGTCATGTGAGAACACACCAAAAAGTGCTATCTTTGGTGCAGAGAGCAAGCCTTCAACAAACGGAATCTGCTGATGCCTTGATCTTGGACCTCCCAGCCTCCCGAACTGTGAGCAATAAATTTCTGTTGTCTATAAATTATCAAGTCAAAGGTATTTTGTTATAGTATCCCTAGCAGACTAAGACACACACCTATACCAAGCAGAATTATGTACCCAATTTAGGGAAAGAACACACAGAAAAACAAAACAAGACCCTTAGAGCTACGGTGAAAGAAAGTGACCATCAACATGGCCAGAGCCTAGATTTGCAGCTGAATATGCGCTCCTCATGAAAGAATCAAGGGCAGAGAGTTTTCAACCTATATCGTCAACTTAGATAGAGGAGGTTTTAATCAACTAAAAAAGAAGCGACCAAGTTCCATGCAGCTCTTCAGTTTAAGGAGAAGATAAAGGTAAGGCTTTGGCAAACAATTAAAAGATCTTCCCTTTGTAGCTAAGAAATGTGATTCATTCCCTCTCAGATCTCCCTGTTCTCATCAGGAACCAACATCAATGGCTCAACATTTTAGTTCATACTGAATCATTGTCTTTTGCTCAGACCCCAAAGACACTAACCTCAAAGCCTTTTCCATTTGGAGTATACTGTTCCTCCTATGCACCCATCTCTGTCTTGCTTTCATGAAGAAATTACACCTCCATCTCTATGATTAACCATGAAACCCTGCTCTCACAAACTCTGGTCTCAGTGTTGGCTAAATAAGAATTATCTAGTGGGCTTGTTAATAATACAGATGCCAAATCTTACTCTCAGAGATTCTGTTTCACTATGTTTGGAAAGTCCCTCAGATTTTGACAGACAGCAATGTTTGGAAATAACTCACTTAAGAAGTGACATCATCTGCTCAGACTCCCTAGCCAGACTGTCGCAGACCAAAGTCTCCACTTTTAACAGAGCCACTCCTCAACCCTCCAAAGGAAAGGTCTACTTACCCTCTACACACGGGAACTAGGCAGACATTTGATAACATATTTTCACTCTTTGGTATCTCTGAATATTCCAAATGATGTGGACTGTATGCGCAGGCTAGCTACATAGTGTGTACTCAGTAAAGACCTGGGAGCTTGACCGGCATTTCACAGAAAAGGTAAGCACATCTGCTAAATTCCTCGATTAAGGCCAAATCACTAGAAAAGCTTCAAGAGGAATAGGCAGTAAAGTCAGTTAGAGATTTTTACAAGTTCACTTGCGTATGAACAAGTTTTGGGAGACAAAAAAGGAGATTGTGATAACCATTGGTCATTCATGCACTCTTATGCACAGATGGAAATATTAATAATTATAAACTCCAAGTTACTCAGTATTGACTATACCAGAGTAACAATCCCTGTAACGTGGTCAATTATATTCATATTATATACAAGTAAAATGATATCAGAGAAGGTAAGTTATTTTTTTAAGTCACACAAGCTAATAAGGAATATTCCTTACTATCTGAGTCAGTCTTCCAACAAAATTGGTCTCTTTCTAAAGCCCAGGACATATTACTACTGCAATGACAGGAGAGTCCTTTAGAAATGCAAACCCTTTTCTTCATCTTTTGATTAGCTTACTATGCAACAGGCTCGTTTCTTCTAGAAGAAGGTATTCATCAGATCAGCGTATCTACAGAGTAAAACTAGAGTTTTGCCTGTGGAATGGCACCCTGGGAAAAGGTAGAGCCTAAGAATCTCCACCTAGAAGCAAAGCATGATAAAAATGCACAGCCACACAGGTTTATCTACTCAAGGGATTCTTCTTTGCTAACAAGACTTTGGACTATTGGACTAAATGGTGTTGTTTTAAGCCCTTCCGGGAAGCCTGGGTGTGTGTGTGTGTGTGTGTGTGTGTGTGTGTGTATGTTTTAGGGGTGGGAGGTAGGGAAGATGAGATCTGGGAATAGGAACACAATCCCTTAGACTATCACCAATTCATCTTGTCAAAGAACAAAGGTATTTCTTACAACACACTTCCCAGCCTCAGTCTTCTTTCCCCCACATTTACATAATCTCTTTCACTTTCCAGTGTAATTCAAAAAGGGAGTCAGGATAGGTAAGAATAACAGCTACAAAACATTGCTTTTCAGGGATTGCAAATAGAACTACCTCCAAAGAACAACAGGCAGTATTTTGTCTCATTGTTCCTACAGTGGGGAACCTCAAACTCACTAACATGGCCCAGAACTTATCTATATATCATCTACTCCAATACCCTCTTAATAATAAACACCCAAGGCATAGGAGTATAATACAACTATAAATATCTTTAGCAATGCTATCTTAAAGAATACAAAAGATATAATACCATAGAAATATATGGTCCTTTCTTTGTGAAAGGGAATAGCACCTTTCAATTGCACCCCCACATTTCAGAGAAGAAAATAAGGGCTTTTCATCAAGAATAATGAACAACAGAAAAGATTTCAAGAATACATGCAGTTCTAGTCCTCAGGTTGAAAATAGAACGCATTTTAAAAAAAAAAAAAAAATCTAGAAACATTTACCTTGCTTTAAAAATCCAGATTGGCTCTTTAAAACTTCTTCTTCAAAAAAAATTGGTAGGAAAAATAATATACCCTTTGACTTGTCAAAAGCAGATGTTATATTTTCACTACCACGACATGTTTATTAAATAAAATTTTATGCTCCTGGTCTCTAGCTTGAAAAATGAACGAGTTGCATGCCTTAGATATTTTGTTTTGCTTTTAGTAGTAAAAACTAGGTTACTTTTCACTAATACTGAATTTTATTGATTTTTTTGTTGAGTCCATGTTTTTTCCATGTCAACAGCCCTTGACATGAATGGTTCTTCACCTCTGCTCTAGATGGACCTAAGCCCACACAGTGGGTTTGCTACTGATTTGTCATAAGCACAAATGAAGTGAGAGAAAAATGTCTGGAGGAAAAAAAAAGCAAGTATCTCAGTTGGTATTCAGTTGAGAAAATATTGGAGGCAGCACTGTAGTAGAAAGAATATGGCACAAATAGTCTGGTGACATGGCTTCTAGTCCCAGTTCTTCCACTCACTGGATGTATCATCTAATATACAGTACTTTCTTTCCTTCTATGTGGTTTATTTTCCTCATCTTTAAAATTGAGGTGAGGGTGAGCCAAGAAAGTGGAAGGAAAGGAAAAGCAAGGAAAGGTGATTAGACCAGGAGGTCTCTAAAGTCAAGCTCTAACATACCTTGAGGACTTAGAGTTTAAGATCAAGAAGAAAAAAAAGAGGAAGAAAGCTCAGCCTAAACACTCTAGGTGCACTCTAGGCAAAGAAGAAATAGCTCCTAACCTCCATTTGCAGGTCCCAAAAAATATCTCACAGCCCTATAGCTATTCGTTTTCTTAAAGTAACCAGACTTCAACATGCCACACAGCCAAGCTTGACAAGGACAGGGGGGACCTGATAGTGACATTTTCTAATCTCTGCTACCTATGTGTTTTCTATTGGATAATTCTCTGCCAAATCCAACTGGAATGGCCTGCAGTATAGCAAAGTGTGTTGGCCAGGATTCCTCAAAATAAATTAGCACATTATCTCCTTTGCAGTAAGTCTGCCAAGATTCTTCTCTCAGCTCTGTAGTTCAACAGTTCCTGTGTCAGTTCCTGCCCAAAACTGGGTGTCCCACATGTCAATCAGCATGAGCTTTTTACTGGCCCTGCCATCTTTCTCCTGTGGTGGATGTTTCCTGCCCTCAAACATCAGACTCCAGGTTCTTCAGTTTTGAGACTTCTACTGGCTCTCCTTGCTCCTCAAGCTTGCAAACAGTCTATTGTGACACCTTGTGATCATGTAAGCTAAAACTTTATAAACTCATATATGTGCATATATATACACATATATATACACATATATATACACATATATATACACATATATGTGTATATATATACATATATGTGTATATATATACATATATATGTGTATATATATACACATATATGAGTATATGTGTGTATATATATATGTGTATATATATATATATGTGTGTGTGTATATATATATATATATATATATATATATATATATATATATGCCTTTGACACTCCTGATTCACCACTCAGGAGAGGCAAAATGTTTAGTGACTCTATTCATAATACCTTTGACTATATGTGGAGAACCAAGGAACATAATGAAGCTGGTTGGTTGCTCCGGTGGACAAAGTGATGAAAGAAAATGATGAACTCAGAGATTCTGTCTCCCAGCTTCAGAAGCAGATCCTGAGCCTCAAATCTGCTAAGATTGCTCTCAGTGAGAGTCATCACCTGAAGAGACAGAGCTGAAATTGTGGAAAAACAAACACAAGCTCTCATCATGAGAGTGGCTGACCTGTAATGAAAGGTGCATGCACAGCCTCGCCACGTGTCTACTGTTAAAGTGAGGGCATTGATTGGAAAAGAATGGGACACTGCAACTTGGAATGGGGACGTGTGGGAGGACCGTGATGAAGATGGAGACACTGAGTTTGTAAACTCTGAAGAAACTTTTTTGCCAGAAGGAATATCTTCCCCATCCCCAGTAATGACAACATCCCCTCCCTAACCCATGCTGCCATCAGCCTTTCCACCTTTATCTGAGGAGATAAATCTATCGCTGCCTGAGGCAACAGTGATGGCCTCTCCTGAGGCAGCTGCCACGCAAAATGATGTCGATTCTCTTCAGAAGCCACCCCCATCATCCCTGTTTGCTTCTAGACTTATAACTAGACTAAAGTCCTTGCAAGACCCTAGAGGTGAGGTTGAGCATGTGACCCATGAGGAGGTGCACTACACTTGAAAATAACTGTTTGAGTTCTCTAATTTATATAAACAGAAATACAGAGAACAAGAATGGGAATGGATATTAAGGGTGTGGGATAATGGTAGAAGAAACATAGAGTTGAATCAGGCTGAATTTATTGATTTGGTCCCACTAAGTAGAGACTCTGCATTTAATGTTGCAGCTTGTGGAGTTAAAAAAAGGTTCTAATAGTTGATTTGCTTGGTTAGCCGAAATATGGATTAAAAGATGGCCCACTGTGAGTGAGTTGATAATGATAATGCCTGGTCTCCCTTGGTTTAATGTAGAGAAGGGGATCAAAAGGCTTAGGGAGATTGGGATGGTGGAGTGGACTAGTCACTTTAGACATAGTCATCTCAGCTGGGAGGGTCCAGAAGATATGCCCTTGTCCAATGCCTTGTGAAATATATTTGTGAGAGCAACACTTGCATCTTTGAAGGGCCCTTTAATTACTCTTCTCTGAATTTCAGATCTAACGGTGGGAACCATAGTCAACTATAAAATTTAAGTACAATGGGAATAATTGGATCCTGAGGGGGCAGGAACCAAGTGGCAGCAGTCAATCATCAAATGCAAGGTGGCCATAGGTACTGTAATGGACAGCAGAGACAAAGCGGCAATCAGAATACTCTGACTCCTATAGAGCTCTGGCATTGGCTAATTAATCACGGTGTCCCTAGAAGTGAAACTGATAGGAAACCTACTGCATTTCTACTTAATTTATATAAGCAGCAAACTTCTAGGTCAAATGGACAAAAGACTAATTTGAATTATAAAAATAGAAAATCATGGTCCCTCAATCTATTTCGACTTGAGCCAGTTTACAGAAGCAGAATTCTTTGAATGAAGCGGAGGCTGGGTCCCTTTGAGGAAGGACCCAACTACATTACCGACAATTTATGCATTGAATATTTCTCCCATTCTTCCCCAAGAACACTTCCAGCCTTTTACCTGGATAACTGTGCACTGGGGAAAGGGAAATAATCAGACATTTCAGAGACTGCTGGACACAGGCTCTGAGCTGACATTGATTCCGGCGGACCCAAAACATCATTGTGGTCCTCCAGTTAAAACAGGGGCTTATGCATCCCATTACTGGGTATATACCCAAAGGATTATAAGTCATGCTGCTATAAAGACACATGCACACGTATGTTTATTGTGGCACTATTCACAATAGCAAAGACTTGGAACCAACCAAAATGTCCAACAACGATAGACTGGATTAAGAAAATGTGGCACATATACACCATGGAATACTATGCAGCCATAAAAAAGGATGAGTTCATGTCCTTTGTAGGGACATGGATGAAGCTGGAAACCATCATTCTAGAAAACTATCGCAACGACAAAAAACCAAACACCGCATGTTCCCACCCATAGGTGGGAACTGAACAATGAGAAAACTTGGACACAGGAAGGGGAACATCACACACCAGGGCCTGTTGTGGGGTGGAGGGAGGGGGGAGGGATAGCATTAGGAGGTATACCTAATGTAAATGATGAGTTAACGGGTGCAGCACACCAACATGGCACATGTATACATATGTAACAAACCTGCAGGTTGTGCACATGTACCCTAGAACTTAAAGCATAATAAATATATACATATATATATAAAAGAGTTGGTACCAAGAAAAAAAATAAAAATAAAATAAAATAGGGGTTATGGAGGTCAGGTAATTAATGGAGTTTTAGGTCAGATCCGACATACAGTGGATCCAGTGGGTACCCGGACTCATCCTGCAGTTATTTCCCCAATGCCAGAATGTATAATTGGCACAGACATACTTAGCAGCTGGTAGAACCCCCATATTGGCTCCCTGACTGGTGAGAGCTACTATGATGGGAAAGGCCAAAGGGAAGCAATTAGAGCTGCCTCTACCTAGAGAAATAATAAATTAAAAACAATATTCCATCCCTGGAGGGACTGCAGAAATTAGTGCCACCATCAAAGACTTGAAAGAGGCAGGGGTGGTGATTCCCACCACATGCCAATTCAACACTCCCATCTGGCCGGTGCAGAAGACAGATAAATCTTGGAGAATGACAGTGGATTATCATAACCTTAATCAAGTTGTGACTCCAATTGAAGCTGCTGTAACAGATGTGGCTTCATTGCTTGAGCAAATTAACACATCTCCTGGTAACTGGTATGCAGCCATTGACTTGGCAAATGACTTTTTCTCCATTAATGCCCATAAGTCCCACCAAAATCAATTTGCCTTCAGCTGGCAAGGCCAGCAATATACCTTTACTGTCCCACCTCAGGGGTACATCCACTCTCCTGCTTTGTGTCATAATCTTATTAGGAGGGACCTTGATCGCTTTTTGCTTCTGCAAGATATCACACTGGTCCATTACACTGATGACATACTGATTGGATCCAGTGAGCAAGAAGTAGCAAACACACTGGACTTATTGGTGAGACATTTGCATGACAGATGTGGGGAAAAAAATCTGACTAAAATTCAGGGACCTTCTACCTCAGTAAAATTTTCTATGGTTCCAGTGCTGTGGGACCTGTTGAGATATTCCTTCTAAGATGAAGGATAAGTTACTGCATTTGGCCCCTCCTCCATCCAAGAAAGAGGTACAACACCTGGTGGGCCTATTTGGATTTTGGAGACAACACATTCCTCAGTTGAGTGTGTTACTCTGACCCATTTATCGAGTGACCCAAAAGGCTGCCAGATTTGAGTGGGGTCGGGAATAGGAGAAGACTCTGCAACAGGTCCAGGCTGCTGTGCAAGCTGCTCTGCCACTTGGGACATATTACCCAGCAGATCCAATGGTGTTTGAGTTGTTGGTGGCAGATAGAGATGCTGTTTGGAGCCTTTGGCAGGCTCCCATAGGTGAATCACAGCAGAGACCTGTAGGATTTTGAAGCAAGGCCCTGCCATCTTCTGCAGAAAACTACTCTCCTTTTGAGAGACAGCTCTTGGCCTGTTACTGGGCTTTGATGGAAACTGAACATTTGACTATGGATCATCAAGTCACCTTGTGAACTGAACTGCCTATCATGAACTGAATGCTTACTGAACCATCTAGCCACAAGTTGGCTATGCACAGTAGCATTCCATCATCAAATGGAAGTGGTATATACATGATCGGGCTCCAGCAGGTCCTGAAAGCCCAAGTAAGTTACATGAGGAAGTGGCTCAAATGCCCCTGGTCTCCACTCCTGCCACCCTTCCTTCTCTCCCCCAGCCTGCACCAGTGACCTTATGGGGAGTTCCCTATGATCAGTTGGCAGAGGAAGAAAAGACTAGGGTCTGGTTCACAGATGGTTCTGCACCATATGCAGACACCAGCTGAAAGTGGACAGCTGCAGCACTAGAGTCTCTTTCTAGGACATCCCTGAAGGGCAGCAGTGAAGGGACATCTTCCCAGTGGGCAGAACTTCGAGCAGTGTACCTGGTTGTGCACTTTGCATGGAAGCAGAAATGGCCAGATGTGCTATTATATATTGATTCACGGGCTGTAGCCAATGGTTTGGCTGGTTGATAAGGGACTTGGAGGAAGCATGATTGGAAAATCGGTGACAAAGAAATTTGGGGAAAGGCATGTGGATGAACCTCTCTGAGTGGTCAAAAACTGTAAAGATATTCATATCCCATATGAGTGCTCACCAACAGGTGATCTCAGCAGAGGAGGATTTTAATAATCAAGTGGATAGGATGACCCGTTCTGTGGACACCACTCAGCCTCTTTCCCCAGCCACCCCTGTCATCACCCAATGGGCCCATAAACAAAGTGGCCATGGCGGCAGGAATGGAAGTTATGCATGGGCTCAGCAACATCGACATTCACTCACCAAGGCTAACCTAGCTATGGCCACTGCTGAGTGCCCAATTTGCCAGCATCAGAGACCAATACTGAGCCTTTGATATGGCACCATTCCTCTGGGTGATCAGCCAGCTACCTGGTGGCAGGTTGATTATACTGGACCTCTTCCATTATGGAAAGAGCAGAGGTTTGTCCTCACTGGAATAGACACTTACTCCAAATATGGGTTTGCCTATATTGCATGCAATGCTTCTGCCAAGACCACCATCCATGGACCCACTGAATGTCTTATCCACCATCATGGTATTCCACACAGCATTGCCTCTGACCAAGGCACTGACTTTATGGCTAAACAAGTGAGGCAGTGGGCTCCTGCTCATGGAATTCACTGTTCTTACCATGTTCCCCATCATCCTGAAACAGCTGAATTGATAGAATGGTGGAATGGCCTTTTGAAATCACAAGTACAATGCCAACTAGGTGACTTTGCGGGGCTGGGGCAAAGCTCTCCAGAAGACCATGTATGCTCCGAATCAGCGTTCAATATATGTTACTGTTTCTCCCATAGCCAGGATTCACAGGTCCAGGAATCAAGGGGTGGACGTGGAAGTGGAACCACTCACCGTTACCCCTAGTGATTCACTAGCAAAATGTTTGCTTCCTGTTCCCGCGACATTACATTCTGCTGGCCTAGAGGTCTTCTTTCCAGAGAGAAGAATGCTGCCACCAGAAGACACAACAACGATTCCATTAAACTGTAAATTAAGTTTACCACCTGGCCACTTTGGGCTCCTACCTTTAAGTCAATAGGCTAAGAAGGGATTTACACTGTTGGCTGAGGTTATTGACTGAGACCACCAAGATAAAATCAGTCTACTACTCCACAATGGAGGTAAGGAGGAGTATGCATGGAATACAGGATATCCATTAGGACATCTCTTAGTATTACCATGCCCTGTGATTAAGGTCAATGGGAAACTACAACAGCCCAATCCAGGCAGGACTGCAAATGGTCCAGACCCCTCAGGAATAAAGGTTTGGGTCACTTCAATAGGAAAAAACCCAGGACCTGCTGAGGTGCTTGCTGAAGGCAAAGGGAATGCAGAATGGGTAGTAGAAGAAGGTAGTCATCAATTCCAGCTATGATCACGTGACCAGATGCAGAAACGTGGACTGCAACTGTCATGAGTATTTCCTTCTTTTGTTAAAAACATGTTTGTGCATGTATACACTTGTACTAAGAAAATATCTTGATTTTATTTCCTATTCCTTTATCATGTGATGTAAGATTTATTGACTTCATATCAGTATTTAAGTATTGTTAACTTTATGTAATAGTATCTGGGTTGGAAAATGATGCATTACTGGTTGTGCGAAGGATAGTTGTGTTATGTTAGGGGTAACTATGGCCTTATTATTGTCTTTATTTGAAGATTATGTATAATCTCAGGAAATGTGTATGGGTTCAAGTTGACAAGAGGTGGACATGTGATTGTTAATACTGAGTGTCAACTTGATTGGATTGAAGGATACAAAGTATTAGTCCCCTGGGTGTGTCTGTGAGGGTGTTGCCAAAGCACATTAACATTTGAGTCAGTGGACTGGGGAGGGCAGACCCACTTTTAACCTGGTGGGCACAATCTCATCAGCTGCCAGCAAATTTAAAGCAGGCAGAAAAATAAAGGGAAGGAGGAAGACTGGCCTAGCCTCCTAGCCCATATCTTTCTCCCATGCTGGATGCTTCCTGCCCTTGAACATCAGACTCCAAGTTCTTCAGTTTTAAGACTCGGACTGGCTCTCCTTGCTCCTCAAGCTTGCAGACAGCCTATTGTGGGAACTTGTGATCATGTAAGTTAATACTTAATAAACTAATAAGATATATATTATATATATATATACATATATATCTCCTATTAGTGCTGTCCCTCTAGAAACCCTGACTAATGCAACATATTTAATACAATCTTTATCAAAAACCAGCAAAATTTTTTATTGGTGTATGGAGACTTATTCGTGAACTCTATGGAAAGGCAAAGGAACTAGAATACCTAAAACTGATTTTCAAAAAGAAGAAAAAAGTGGAAAGAATTATTACCTGATTTTAACACTTATTATATAGTTATAATAATCAACACTAAGTGCATTGGTGGAATAGTAGACACATGGATCAATGGAACAGAATAGAGAACCAGAAATAGATCAACACAAGTATAGTCAACTGATATTTCACAAAGTGATAGGGTTTGGCTGTGTCCCCACCCAAATCTTATCTTGAGTTGTAGTTCTCATAATCCCCACTTGTGGGAAGGAACAAATGGGAGGTAAATGAATCATGAGGGTTGGTTACCCTCATGTTGTTCTCATGATAGTGAGTGAGTTCTCACAAGATCTGATGGTTTTATAAAGGGCTTTTCCCCTTTTTGCTTGGCATTTCTTGCTGCCGCCCTGTGAAGAAGGATGTGTTTGCTTCCTCTTTCACCATGATTGTAAGTTTCCTGAGGTCTTCCCAGCCCTGTGGAACTGTGAATTGATTAAACCTCTTTCCTTTGTAAATCACCCAGTCTTGGGTACTTCTTCATAGCAGCATGAGAAGGAAGTAATACATACAGGTATGAAAAGAATTCAATAGTGAAAGAAAAGTCTTTTTACAAATTGTGCTGGAGCAATTGCATATGCATAGACAAAAAAAAAACTTTCATCTGAACCTCATACCATATATAAAAATTAACTCAAAATAAGTCATGTACAATATAAAACTCTAAAATTTTACAATAAAACATAGGAGAACATCTCAGGACCTAGGGCTTAGTGAAGAGTTCTTAGACTTGGATACCTCTCCCGAACAAAACTGGGCCCCTGAAGTTTTTGAGCTCATTCACACTGAACTTTCATAAATTTACTAATGATAATTTAAATGTTTCCATCAGTACTGGTTCCAGTCAGGCTCTACTCCTGGGCTTCTGCTCCAGTGGACTGGAGATGCCGAGATGTCTGAGTAAATGCAGACAGAAAGAGCTTCACCCACTGACAGACCAGACCATCAAGAATACCAGCACACTCCAAGCAGATCTTAGGAATTAAGGCATTGAGAGTGGATGGCAGGACGATGCAGACCTTGGACTGAAAAGGGAGGAAGCTGGGAACCATGGCCTGGGTTTTTAAGCACCAGGACTCATTCCTGGCATCAACAACAGTTTTCACAGAATTAGAAAAAAACTATTTTAAAATTTATATGAAACCAAAAAAGAGCCTGAATAGCCAAAGCAATCATAAGCAAAAAGAACAAAGCTGGAGGCATCACACCAACTTCAAACTATACTGCAAAGCTACAGTAGCCAAAACAGCATAGTTCTGGTACAAAAGCAGGCACATACACCAAAGGAACAGGTTAGGGAACCCAAAAATAAAGCCACACAAATAAAGGGATCTGACCTTTGCCAAAGTTGACAATAACAAGCAATGGGAACAAGGGCTCCCTATTCAATAAATGTTGGTGGGATAACTGCCCAGCCATATGCAGAAGATTGAAACTGGACCCATTTCTTACACCATATACAAAAATCAACTCAAGATGGATTAAAGACTGAAGTGTAAATACCAAAACTATAAAAACCCTGGAAGACAGCCCAGGCAATACCATTCAGAACATAGGCAACGGCAAAGATTTCATTATGAAGGCACCAAAGGCAATTGCAGCAAAAACAAAAATTGACAAATGGGATGTAATTAAACTTAAAAGCTTCTGCACAGCAAAATAAACTATCAACAGAGTAAACAGACAACCTACAGAATTAGAGAAAATATTTGCGAACTATGCATCTGACAAAGTTCTAATATCCAACATCTATAAGAAACTTAAACAATTCAACAAGCAAAAAACAAATAACCTCATTTAAAAATGGGCAAAGCAAATTACCATCATTCAATGAGTGGATAAAGAAAATGTGATGTATCTATATATATAATATATACATATATATTATATAACATATATAATATATACATATGTATTATATAACATATATATTATATATAATATATACATATATTATATAACATATATATTATATATATGTTATATATATATATACACCATGGAATACTACTTAGCCATAAAAGGAAGGAAATAATGGCATTTACAGCAACCTGACTGGAATTGGAGACCATTATTCTAAGTGAAGTAACTCAGGAATGGAAAACCAAACATAGTATGTTCTCACATATAAGTAGAAGCTAAGGTATGTGGACACAAAGGCATAAGAATGATGCAATATACTTTGGGTGAAAGGGAGGTGAGGGATAAAAGACTACACATTGGGTAGAGTGTGCAATGCTTGGGTGACAGGTGCACCAAAATCTCAGAAATCACCATTAAAGAACTTATTCATGTAACCAAACACCAAATGTTTCCCAAAAACCTAATGAAATGATAAAATAAAATGTATGATTCTTACAGAGAAGATAAACATAATGTACACATTTTTTAAAAATAAAAACTGGGCAAAGGACATGGACAAACACTTCTCAAAAGAAGACATACATGCCACCAGCAAGCGTGTAAAAAATGTGCAACATCGCTAACCGCTAGAGAAATATAGATCAAAACCACAATGAGATACCATCTCACAACCCTCAGAATGGCTATTAATAAAAAGTAAAAAATAAGAGATGTTAGTGAGGTTGCAGGAAAAAAGGAACACACATTACTGCTAGTGGGAATATAAATGAGTTCAGCCACTGTGGAAAGCAGTTTGTACATATCTTGAAGAACTTATAACAGAAGTACCATTCAACCCAGCAATCCCATTATTGGATATATACCCAAAGCAATATAAATTGTTCTGCCTTAAAGGCACATACATGCATATGTTCATTGTAGCACCTTTCACAATACCAAAGACAGGGAATCAACCTAGATGTCCATCAACAGTGGACCAGATGAAGAAAATGTGGTGTATATACAATATGAAATACTACCCAGCCAAAGAAAAAAAAGGAGATTATGTCCTCTGAGGCTATGTGGATGCAGCTGGAGGCCATTATCCTACATGAATTAACAAAGGAATAGAAAATCAAATACTGCAGATTCTCACTTATAAGTGGGAGCTAAACATTGGGTACATATGGAAACAAAGAAGGGAACAATAGACATCAAGTGTCACTTGATGGTGTAGGGTGGGAGGAGGGTGAGGAATGAAAAACAATCAACCAGGTAGAATGCTCACTACCTGAGTGACAAAATTATCTGTACACCAAACCCCAGTGATATACAATGTACCCATGTAACAAGAATACACATGTACCCACTGAACCTAAAGTAAAAGTTGAAAGAAAAAAAGTTCTTTTTTTATTTTATTTTTTATTTTATTATACTTGAAGTTTTAGGGTACTTGTGCACAACAGGCAGGTTAGTTACATATGTATACATGTGCCATGTTGGTGTGCTGCACACAGTAACTCGTCATTTAACATTAGGTATATCTCCTAATGTTATCCCTCTCCCCTCCGCCACCCCATGACAGGCCCTGGTGTGTGATGTTCCCCTTCCTGTGTCCATGTGTTCTCATTGTTCAATTCCCACTTATGACTGAGAACATGTGGTGTTTGGTTTTTTGTCCTTGCGATAGTTTGCTGAGAATGATGGTTTCCAGCTTCATCCATGTCCCTACGAAGGATATGAACTCATCATTTTTTATGGCTGCATAGTATTCCATGGTGTATATGTGCCACATTTTCTTAATCCAGCCTACCGCTGTTGGACATTTTGGTTGGTTCCAAGTCTTTGCTATTGTGAATAGTGCCGCAATAAACATAACGTGTGCATGTGTCTTCACAGAAGTATGTTTTATAATCTTTTGGGTATATACCCAGCAATGGGATGGCTGTGTCAAATGGTATTTCTAGTTCTAGATCCCTGAGGAATCGCCACACTGACTTCCACAATGGTTGAACTAGTTTACAGTCCCACCAACAGTGTAAAAGTGTTCCTGTTTCTCCACATCCTCTCCAGCACCTGTTGTTTCCCGACTTTTTCATGATCGCCATTCTAACTGGTGTGAGATGGTATCTCATTGTGGTTTTGATTTGCATTTCTCTGATGGCCAGTGATGATGAGCATTTTTTCATGTGTCTTTGGCTACATAAATGACTTCTTTTGAGAAGTGTCTGTTCATATCCTTTGCCCACTTTTTGATGGGGTTGTTTGTTTTTTTTCTTGCAAATTTATTGGAGTTCATTGCAGATTCCGGGTATTAGCCCTTTGTCAGATGAGTAGGTTGCGAAAATTTTCTCCCATTCTGTAGGTTGCCTGTTCACTCTGATGGTAGTTTCTTTTGCTGTGCAGAAGCTCTTTAGTTGAATTAGGTCCCATTTGTCGATTTTGGCTTTTGTTGCCATTGCTTTTGGTGTTTCAGACATGCAGTCCTTGCCCATGACTATGTCCTGAATGGTATTGTCTAGGTTCTCTTCTAGGGTTTTTATGGTTTCAAGTCTGACATTGAAGTCTTTAATCCATCTTGAATTAATTTTTGTATAAGGTGTAAGGAAGGGATCCAGTTTCAGCTTTCTACATATAGCTAACCAGTTTTCCCACAATTTATTAAATACGGAATCTTTCCCCATTTCTTGTTTTTGTCAGGTTTGTCAAAGACCAGATGGTTGTAGACATGCGGCATTATTTCTGAGGACTCTGTTCTGTTTCATTGGTCTATATCTCTGTTTTTGTACCAGTACCATGCTGTTTTGGTTACTGGAGCCTTGTAGTATAGTTTGAAGTCCAGTAGCGTGATGCCTCCAGCTTTGTTTTCTTGGCTTAGGATTGACTTGGCAATGCACGCTCTTTGTTGGTTCCATATGAACTTTAAAGTAGTTTTTTCCAATTCTGTGAAGAAAGTCATTGGTAGCTTGATGGGGATGGCATCAAATCTATAAATTACCTTGGGCAGTATGGACATTTTCATGATATTGATTATTCCTATCCATAAGCATGGAATATTCTTCCATTTGTTTGTATCCTCTTTTATTTCATTGAGCACTGGTCTGTAGTTCTCCTTGAAGAGGTCCTTCACATCCCTTATAAGTTGGATTCCTAGGTATTTTATTCTCTTTGAAGCAATTGTGAATGGGAGTTCACTCATGATTTGGCTCTCTGTTTGTCTGTTATTGGTGTATAAGAATGCTTGTGATCTTTGCACATTGATTTTGTATCCTGAGACTTTGCTGAAGTTGCTTATCAGCTTAAGGAGATTTTGAGCTGAGACAATGGGATTTTCTAGATATGCAATCACGTCATCTGCAAACAGGGACAATTTGACTTCCTGTTTTCCTAATTGAATGCCTTTTATTTCCTTCTCCTGCCTGATTGCCCTGGCCAGAACTTCCAACACTATGTTGAATAGGAGTGGTGAGAGAGGGCATCCCTGTCTTCTGCCAGTTTTCAAAGGGAATGCTTCCAGTTTTTGCCTATTGAGTATGATCTTGGTTGTGGGTTTGTAATAGATAGCTCTTATTATTTTGAGATACATCCAATCAATACCTAATTTATTGAGAGTTTTTAGCATGAAGTGTTGTTGAATTTCATCAATGGCCTTTTCTGCATCTGTTGAGATAATCATGTGGTTTTTGTCGTTGGTTCTGTTTATATGCTGGATTACATTTATTGATTTGCGTATATTGAACCAGCCTTGCATCCCAGGGATGAAGCCCACTTGATCATGGTGGATAAGCTTTTTGATGTGCTGCTGGATTCGGTTTGCCAGTATTTTATTGAGGATTTTTGCATCAATGTTCATCAAGGATATTGGTCTAAAATTCTCTTTTTTTGGTTGTGTCTCTGCCTGGCTTTGGTATCAGGATGATGCTGGCCTCATAAAATAAGTTAGGGAGGATTCCCTCTTTTTCTATTGGTTGAAATAGTTTCAGAAGGAATGGTACCATTTCCTCCTTATACCTCTGGTAGAATTCGGCTGTGAATCCATCTGGTCCTGGACTCTTGTTTGTTGGTAAGCTATTGATTATTGCCACAATTTCAGAACCTGTTATTGGTCTATTCAGAAATTCAACTTCTTCCTGGTTTAGTCTTCAGAGGGTGTATGTGTTGAGGAATTTATCCATTTCTTCTAGATTTTCTAGTTTATTTGCATAGAGGTGTTTATAGCATTCTCTGATGGTAGTTTGTATTTCTGTGGGATCGGTGGTGATATCCCCTTTATCATTTTTTATTGTGTCTATTTGATTCTTCTCTCTTTTTTTATTAGTCTTGCTAGCGGTCTATCAATTTTGTTGATCCTTTCAAAAAACCAGCTCCTGGATTCATTGATTTTTTGAAGGGTTTTTTGTGTCTCTATTTCCTTCAGTTCTGCTCTGATTTTAGTTATTTCTTGCCTTCTGCTAGCTTTTGAATGTGTTTGCTCTTACTTTTCTAGTTCTTTTAATTTTGATGTTAGGGTGTCAATTTTGGATTTTCCTGCTTTCTCTTGTGGGCATTTAGTGCTATAAATTTCCCTCTACATACTGCTTTGAATGTGTCCCAGAGATTCTGGTATGTTGTGTCTTTGTTCTCATTGGTTTCAAAGAACATCTTTATTTCTGTCTTCATTTCGTTATGTACCCAGTAGTCATTCAGGATCAGGTTGTTCAGTTTCCGTGTAGTTGAGTGGTTTTGAGTGAGTTTCTTAATCCTGAGTTGTAGTTTGATTGCACTGTGGTCTGAGAGACAGTTTGTTATTATTTCTGTTCTTTTACATTTGCTGAAGAGAGCTTTACTTCCAACTATGTGGTCAATTTTGGAATAGGTGTGGTGTGGTGCTGAAAAAATGTATATTCTGTTGATTTGGGGTGGAGAGTTCTGTAGATGTCTATTGGGTCTGCTTGGTGTAGAGCTGAGTTCAATTCCTGGGTATCCTTATTAACCTTCTGTCTCGTTGATCTGTCTAATGTTGACACTGGAGTGTTAGAGTCTCCCAATATTAATGTGTGGGAGTCTAAGTCTCTTTGTGGGTCACTCAGGACTTGCTTTATGAATCTGGGTGCTCCTGTATTGGGTGCATATATAATTAGGATAGTTAGCTCTTCTTGTTGAATTGATCCCTTTACCATTATGTAATGACCTTCTTTGTCTCTTTTGATCTTTGTTGGTTTAAAGTCTGTTTTATCCCAAACTAGGATTGCAACCCCTGCCTTTTTTTGTTTTCCATTTGCTTGGTAGATCTTCCTCCATCCTTTCATTTTGAGCCTATGTGTGTCTCTACACGTGAGATGGGTTTCCTGAATACAGCACACTGATGGGTCTTGACTCTTTATCCAATTTGTCAGTCTGTGTCTTTTAATTGGAGCATTTAGTCCATTTACATTTAAAGTTAATATTGTTACATGTGAATTTGATCCTGTCATTATGATGTTAGCTGGTTATTTTGCTCATTAGTTGATGCAGTTTCTTCCTAGTCTCGATGGTCTTTCCATTTTGGCATGATTTTGCATTGGCTGCTACCAGTTGTTCCTTTCCGTGTTTAGTGCTTCCTTCAGGAGCTCTTTTAGGGCAGTCCTGGTGGTGACAAAATCTCTCAGCATTTGCTTGTCTGTAAAAGATTTTATTTCTCCTTCACTTATGAAGCTTAGTTTGGCTGGATATGAAATTCTGGGTTGAAAATTCTTTTCTTTAAGAATGTTGGATATAGGCCCCCACTCTCTTCTGTCTTGTAGAGTTTCTGCCAAGAGATCCGCTATTAGTCTGATGGGCTTCCCCTTGTGGGTAAACCGACATTTCTCTCTGGCTGCCCTTAACATTTTTTCCTTCATTTCAACTTTGGTGAATCTGACAATTATGTGTCTTGGAGTTGCTCTTCTCGAGGATTATCTTTCTGGCATTCTCTGTATTTCCTGAATCTGAAAGTTGGCCTGCCTTGCTAGATTGGCGATGTTGTCCTGGATAGTATCCTGCAGAGTGTTTTCCAACTTGGTTCCATTCTCTCTGTCACTTTCAGGTACACCAATCAGACGCAGATTTGGTCTTTTCACATAGTCCCATATTTCTTGGAGGCTTTGTTCATTTCTTTTTATTCTTTTTTCTCTAAACTTCCCTTCTTGCTTCATTTCACTCATTTCATCTTCCATCACCGATACCCTTTCTTCCAGTTGATAGCATCAGCTCCTGAGTCTTCTGCATTTTTCACGTAGTTCTTGAGCCTTGGCTTTCAGCTCCATCGGCTCCTTTAAGCACTTCTCTGTATTGGTTATTCTAGTTATACATTCGTCTAAATTTTTTTCAAAGTTTTCAACTTTTTTGCCTTTGGTTTCAGTTTCCTCCTGTAGCTCAGAGTAGTTTGATCATCTGAAGCCTTTTTCTCTCAACTCGTCAAAGTCATTCTCTGTCCAGCTTTGTTCCATTGCTGGTGAGGAACTGCATTCCTTTGGAGGAGGAGAGGTACTCTGCTTTTTAGAGTTTCCAGTTTTTCTGCTCTGTTTTTTCCCCATCTTTGTGGTTTTATCTACTTTCGGTCCTTGATGATGGTGATGTACAGATGGGTTTTTGGTGTGGATGTCCTTTCTGTTTGTTACTTTTCCTTCTAACAGACAGGACCCTCAGCTGCAGGTCTGTTGGAGTTTGCTAGAGGTCCACTCCAGACCCTGTTTGCTTGGGTATCAGCAGCGGTGTCTGCAGAACCATGGATTTTCATGAACTGCAATTGCTGCTGTCTGATCGTTCCTCTGGAAGTTTTGTCTCAGAAGAGTACCCGGCCGTGTGAGGTGTCATTCTGTCCCTACTGGGGGTTGCCTCCCAGTTAGGCTGCTTGGGGGTTAAGGGTCAGGGACCCACTTAAAGAGGCAGTCTGCCCATTCTGAGATCTCCAGCTGCATGCTGGGAGAGCCACTGCTCTCTTCAAAGCTGTCAGACAGGGACATTTAAGTCTGCAGAGGTTACTGCCGTCTTTTTGTTTGTCTGTGCCCTGCCCCCCAGAGGTGGAGCCTACAGAGGCAGGCCGGCCTCCTTGAGCTGTGGTGGGCTCCACCCAGTTCGAGCTTCCCAGCTGCTTTGTTTACCTAAGCAAGCCTGGGCAATGGTGGGCGCCCCTCCCCCAGCCTCGCTGCCGCCTTGCATTTTGATCTCAGACTGCTGTGCTAGCAATCAGCGAGACTCTGTGGGAGTAGGACCCTCTGAGCCAGGTGCGGGTTATAATCTCCTGGTGCGCCGTTTCCTAAGCCCATTGGAAAAGTGCAGTATTTGGGTGGGAGTGGTCCGATTTTCCAGGTGCGGTCTGTCACCCCTTTCCTTGACCAGGAAAGGGAACTCCCTGACCCCTTGGGCTTCCCGAGTGAGACAATGCCTTGCCCTGCTTTGGCTCGCGCACGGTGCGCTGCACCCACTGTCCTGCGCCCACTGTCTGGCACTCCCTAGTGAGATGAACCCGGTACCTCAGATGGAAATGCAGAAATCACCCGTCTTCTGCGTTACTCATGCTGGGAGCTGTAGACTGGAGCTGTTCCTATTCGGCCATCTTGGCTCCTCCGACTCAACTCACTTTTCTATATGCTGATTTCTAATGGATTCTTCAAACCACTTTTCCCAAAAACCCATGCCAACAGACTTCCAGGTAGGTTCTGCCAATTGGAGGCAATCAGAGGTAGATTTGAAAATAGAAAGAGGGAAAAGAGACTTTCTTTTTCTCCATTTCCTATTAACATATCCAGTGCCTTCTTTCTCCACTCCTAGTACCAGCCTCACTGCATCACCTAAAAGCAGCCGCTGAGTCATCTTCCCTGGATAATCAGAGTATGAGCTCCCTCATCAGTTTAGCTATATCCCCTAGACCACCTTAATACTCATTGAGCCACAACCCCTTCAGTGGTCCTGGCATCCCTTAACTTGCATTACCCTCCTCAGAGGTTCAAGCACCTACCATGCCATGTCTCCTTCTCAAAAGTCCAAACACCAGTTGTTCAGAACTTCCCTCCATATATCATTTTATTCCCCTCACCCTAGCTATTTCCTGCAGTCATTAATATCTAGGTTACTCTGGTTACCTCACTTTTGCTCTTTCAGCCTTCCAACACTTGTATAACCAACTCCCTCCTGCCCGAAATACATAATACAGCTTTTCTGTTTTCCTGACAAGACCCTATAATTTTCATAGCACTTTTTCTGTCCTTCTACTATTACACTCATGATATTCTTGTACTGTATATCTGTATCTCTCTCTTTTACATATAATGTTTAATTGGGGTATATTTTTTGAAAGAATGATAAGTAAATAATCAAATAAAAGAGATTTTGTAACCGGTATTTCTAGAGTAATCTTGTGTTGAGAAAGAATAAGACTCTAGTTAGAGGTATGAAGGGAGAAGATAACACTAAAGATAGATAAATGAAAGCATTAATGTAAATGTTAATTTTCTAATATTATTTCCTATGAAATACAATACCACCTATATTTAAGCCCATTTGCTTGCTATAATTTTTTTCTGACAAAAAGTAAAGCAAAAAAGTAGGCAGAGAATAAACAATATTATTCATCTCTTGAGGGGAAAAAATATTTACAAAGTGGCCCACTATTACATAATGGCAGCCAACAAATACATAAATATCTACCGTGTATCAATCACTCCTCTGGGCATAGGGAAAATTTGCTTAAATGTAGAGAAGGTCATTTTCCTTAGGGAGCTTATTTATGTAGCTGAAGAGCTAGTAGAAGGAGAACTGGGTTGGGGGTCCAAAGACATGACTTTGGCCAAATCATCTCTCCCCTCTGAATGTCAGTTTCTTGATTGATTACACAAAAGGGGGTAGACTAGGAGCTCCAAATGACCTCGCTAGCTCAAATAGACTGTGGTTTTACCTTTGCATGAGGAAAAGGGGATATGGTCATTAATTAGTTTTGAAATAGGGATCTCACACAATTCAAAACACAAGAAAAATCATGTTCATTCTCTACCTCTAAACTAGACAGTATCAGATACAAGCTAGCAACTCAAGACTGAATGATGGTGTGGACAGTTGATTGGGGAGAGAGTCCCCATCTTTCCTAGATGGGTGTGTAGGTGAATGTCTAATTTTCCCATGGAGATGACACTCCCATTTGAGATATGAAATTTTCCCATTCTCCTCCCCATGCCACAGCACAATTTCCCAAGCACAACTAAAGAATCAGGTAAAACATTTGCCCTCTGTGAGCTACTCACCAAGCCACGTGATGGGAATCTAGTCTTCCACTCCATTTGTAAGACAACTGGCTTCCCAGAAGTTCCTTCTTTACTACCTCATGGGTTGCCTGGGTCAGTAGGCAAATAGACCTGTTGCAGTCTAATGTAGTGGGTGAAGCCAAGACTTATGCATGGAAGTAACTAGTAAACAAGCTTAACATATTTTCATTAATTCACTCAACGTGTGTTTATTGAGCACCTACTATGTGAATAAGAAAGTCACTGTCCCTGCTCTCATAGATGTGACTTTGGGTGACTAATTTAAAAAAGTAACCAAAGATATAAATAAAATATTTATAAATAATAAGGTATATGAAGCAAATAAGGTACAAGAACATAATATGAAAGCTACATTAAATAGTAATAATCAAGGAAGGAGTCTCTGAAGAAGTGACAGTTGTTCTAAAATTCAAAGTATGAGAGTCAGCCATAATTAAAATGGAAGGTTGACTAGTCTGGGCAGAAAAAAAAATCATATGCAAAGGCCTTGTAGTAGAAAGTAGCTTGATAGTTTGAGAGAAAGGTAGCATGGCTGAAACATAGCAGATCGCAAGGAGAGTGGTGGGTCATGAAGTTAGTGAGATAAGCAGGAACCAGAATATGTAGGGGCTTTTTTGTTTGCTCTTCTTGTTGTTTAGTTTTTTTAATTTTTAATTTTTGTGGGTAGATAGTAGGTGATATTGATGGGGTACATGAGATATTTTGAAACAGGCATGCAATGTGTAATAATCACATCATAGAAAATGGATTATCCATTCCTTTAAGCACTTATCCTTTGTGCTACAAACAATCTAATTATACTCTTTTAGTTATTTTTAAATGTACAATTAAATTATTATTCACTGTAGTCACTGATATGGTGTGGCTCTCTGTCCCAACCCAGATCTCATTTCAAATTGTAATCCCCACATGTCAAGAGAGGAACCTATAATCCTCACTTGTTGAGGAAGGGAAGTGATTGAATTATGGGGGTGGTTTCTCTCATGCCGTTCTCATGATAGTGAGTGAATTCTCATGAGATCTGATGGTTTTATAAATAATAGCTTATCCTGCACTCTCATATGTTCTCTCTTTTTCTCACCTGCTGCCACGTAAGATGTGCCTGCTTCCTCTTCTGCCATGATTGTAAGTTTTCTGAGGCCTCCCCAGGCACTGTGGAACTGTGAGTTAATTAAACCTTTCTTTATAAATTACCCAGTCTCATTAAGAAAATGTGGAACATATACACCATGGAATACTATGCAGTCATAAAAATGGATGAGTTCATGTCCTTTGTAGGGACATGGATGAAGCTGGAAACCATCATTCTCAGCAAACTATCGCAAGGACAAAAAACCAAACACCGCATGTTCTCACTCATAGGTGGGAATTGAACAATGAGAACACATGGGCACAGGAAGGGGAACAACACACACCGGGACTGTTGTGGAGTGGGGGGAGGGGGAAGGGATAGCATTAGGAGATATACCTAATGCTAAATGACGAGTTAATGGGTGCAGCACACCAACATGGCACATGTATACATATGTAACAAACCTGCACGTTGTGCACATGTACCCTAAAACTTAAAGTATAATAATTATTAAAGAAAAAGAAAAAAAAAAGAATAGTCCAAAAGATTAAAATAATTTTGAAAGGGGCTTACGGTATAAAAAGAGGTGTGGAAAATCAGCCCCAGTAGGAACCAATTAATTACTAATACACAGTGGAAACCATGCTCCACATTTTTTTTTTAATCTGAAGACATGGTAAGCTATGGGTAGATTTTTAAACATTACATATGAACCGATAACTAGATTATGAAATGTAATAAAGTGCCAGAATACCCAAAAAAAAACCAAATATATAAATTACCCAGTCTCAGAGAAGTTATTTATAGCAATGTGAAAACGGACTAATATCATCACCCTATTGTGATATCAAATAGTAAGACCTATTCATTCTTACTTTTTTTTTTACCCATTAAACATCCTCCCCCCCAAAAGCACTCCGACTATTCTTCCCAATCTTTGATAGCAATCCTTCTACTCTCTATCTCCATGAGTTCAATTGTTTTGATTTTATCTCCCACAAATAAGTGAGAACATGTAATGTTTGCCCTTCTGTGACTGGCTTACTTCACTTAAAATAATGACCTCCAGTCTTACCCACGTTGTTGCAAATGACAGAATCTCATTCTTTTTATGACTGAATAGTATTCCATTGTTTATAAGTACCATATTTTCTTTATCCATATGTCTGTTGATGGACACGTTGGTTGCTTCAAAACCCAGCTTTTGGGAACACTGCTGCAACAAACATGGGAGTGCAGATATCTTTTCAACATATTGATTTCCTTTCTTTTGGGTACATACCAAGCAATGGGATTGCTGGATCATATAATGGCTCAATTTTTAAGTTTATAAGGAATCTCTAAACTGTTCTTCATAGTGGTTATACTAATTACATTCCCACCACAGTGTACAAGGTTTCCCTTTTCTCTGCATCCACACCAGCATTTGTTATTGCTGTTTCTTGGGTGTAAGCCATTTTAAGTGGGGGAAAATATCTCACTATAATTTTGATTTGTATTATCTGAGGGCCAATGATGTTGAGAACTTTTTCATATGCCTGTTTGTCATTTGTAAGTCTTCTTTTGAGAAGTGTCTATTAAAATCTTTTGCACATTTTTAATCAGATTATTAGATTTTTTCCTATAGAGTTGTTTTAGTTCCTTATATGTTATGGTTATTAATCCCTTGTCAGATGCAGATAGGTACTTTGCAAATATTTTCTTCCATTCTGTGGGTTGGATCTTCACTTTGTTGATTGTTCCTTTGCTGTGCAGAAGTTTTTTACTTAACATGATCCCATTTGTCCATTTTTGCTTTGAATGCTTGTGCTTGAGGGGTTTTACTCAAGAAAATTTTGTCCAGAAAAATATCCTGAAGATTTTCCCCAATGTGTTTTTGTAGCAGTTTTATAGTTGGAAGTCTTCCATTTAAGCCTTCAATCCATTTTGATTTGATTTTTGTATATGGGCTATTAGTCCATTCTCATGCTGCTATGAAGAAACACCCAAGACTGGGTAATTTATAAAGAAAAGAGGTTTAATTGACTCATATTTCCACAGGGCTGCAAACTCCTCAGAAAACTTACAATCATGGCAGAGGGCACTTATTCACAGAGTGTCAGAAGAGAGAATGAGTGCCAGCAGGGGAAATGCCAGACACTTATAAAACCATCAGATCTCATGAGACTCACTCACTATCATTACAACGCATGGGGGAGCTCAGAGAGGGGTCAAGATGGCTGGATAGAAACAACTCCAGTCTGCAGCTCCCAGCGAGACCAACACAAAAGGTGGGTGATTTCTGCATTTCCAACTGAGGTACGCAGTTCTTCTCATTGGGACTGGCTAGGCAGTGGGTGCAACCCACAGAGAGTGAGCAGAAGCAGGCTAGGGTGTTGCTTCACCCGGGAAGTGCAAGGAGCTGGGAGACCTCCTTCCCCTAGCAAAGGAAAGTGGTGAGGAACTGTGCTATGCACTCTGGGTACTACACTTTTCCCACAGATATTTCCAATCTTCAGATCAGGAGATTCCTTTGTGAGCCTACACCACCAGGGCCCTGGGTTTCAAGCACCAAACTGGGCAGCTGCTTGGGCAGGCACTGAGCTAGCTGCAGAATTTTTTTTTGTACTCCAGCAGCACCTGGAACCCCAGCAAGTTGGGAGAACCAACCACTCCCTTGGAAAGGAGGCTGAAGCAAGGGAGCCAAGGGGTCTCACTAAGCAGGTTCCACTTCCATGGATCCCAACAAGCTAAGAACCACTGCCTTAAAATTCTCACTGCCAGTACAGCAGTCGGGAGTCAACCTGGGTTGATTGAATTTGGTGGGGGGAGTGGCAACTGCCATTGCTGAGGTTTTAGTAGGCAGTTTTCTCCCTTGACAGTGCTAAGGAGGCTGTCAGGTTTAGACTGCACAGAATTCACCACAGAATGGCAAAGTGGCTGTGGCCAGACTCATTCTCTAGACTCCTGCTCACTGGAGAGGGAATCTCTGCAGGAAATGTAGCAGCCCCAGTCAGGGGTTTACAGATAAAACTCTCATCTCCGTGGGACGGAGCATCTGGGGAGGGGCGGCTGCAGTTGCAGCTTCAGCAGACTTAATCTTTCCTGCTTGCAGGCTCTGAAAAGAGCAACTGATCCTGGCAAAGGGGATTCTCCCAGCACAGTGCACCAGGCCCACTAAGGGACAGACTACCTCCTCAGGTGGGTCCCTGAACCCATGCTTCGTGACTGGGAGAGACCTCCCAATAAGGGTCGACGGACATCTCACACAGGGGAGCTCTGGCTGGCATCAGGCCGGTGCCCCTTTGAGATGAATCTCCCAGAGGAAGGAGCAGGCAGCAATCTTGGCTGTTCTGCAGCCTACACTGGTGATACCCAGGAGAACAGTGTCTGGAGTGGACCTCAGCAAACTGCAGCAGATTTGGAGAAGAGGGGTTTGACTGTTATAAGACAAACTAACAAACATAAAGCAAAAACAACAACAACAAAAAAAAAAGACCCCACACACACACACAAAAAAAAAGCCTTCCAAAGGTCTTCAGCCTCAAAGATGAAAGGTAGATAAACCCACAAAGATGAGGAAAAACCAGCACAAAGAAGCTAAAAATTCCAAAAGCCAGAATGCCTCTTCTCCTCCAAATGATTGCAACACTTCTCCATCAAGGGCATAAAACCGGAGGAAGAATGAGATTGATGGATTGACAGAAGTAGGCTTCAGAAGGTGGGTAATAACAAACTCCTCTGAGATAAAGGAGCAGGTTCTAACCCAATGCAAGAAAGCTAAGAACCTTGATAAAAAGTTACAGGAACTGCTAACTAGAATAGCCAGTTTAAAGAGGAACATAAATGACCTGATGGAGCTGAAAAACACAGCATGAGAAGTTTATGAAGCATACACAAGTATCAATAGGCAAGTAGACCTAGTAGAAGAAAGGACATCAGAGACTGAAGACCACCTTGCTGAAATAAGGCATGCAGAAAAGCTTAGAGGAAAACGAATAAAAAGGAAAAAACAAAGCCTCCATGAAATATGGGACTATGTAAAAGACAATACCTATGATTGATTGGTGTACCTGAAAGTGATGGAGAGGATGAATCCAAGTTGAAAAACACAGTTTAGGATATCACCCAGGAGAACTTCCCCAACCAAGCAAGGTAGACCAACAAGAAATTCAGGAAATACAGAGAATACCACTAAGATACTCCACAAGAAGATCAACAGCAAGATACATAATCATCAGATTCTGCAAGGCTGAAATGAAGGAAAAATGTTAAGGGCAACCAAAGAGAACGGTCAGGTCGCCTGCACAGGGAAGCCCATCAGACTAACAATAGTACTCTCAGCAGAAATCCCACAAGCCAGAAGAGAGTGGGGGTCAATATTCAACATTCTTAAAGAAAGACGACATGATTGTACATCTAGAAAACCCCATTGTTTCAGCCCAAAATCTCCTTAAGCTGATAAGCAACTTCAGCAAAGTCTCAGGATACAAAATCAATGTACAAAAATCACAAGCATTCTTATACACTAACAACAGACAAACAGAGAGCCAAATCATGAGTGAACTCCCATTCACAATTGCTTCAAAGAGAATAAAATACCTAGGAATCCAACTTACAAGGGATGTGAAGGACCTCTTCAAGGAGAACTACAAACCAGTGCTCAAGGAAATAAAAGAGGATACAAACAAATGGAAGAACATTCCATGCTCATGGGTAGGAAGAATCAATATCGTGAAAATGGCCATACTGCCCAAGGTAATTTACAGATTCAATGCCATCCCCATCAAGCTACCAATGACTTTCTTCACAGAATTGGAAAAAACTACTTTAAAGTTCATATGGAACCAAAAAAGAGCCCGCATCGCCAAGTCAATCCTAAGCCAAAAGAACAAAGCTGGAGGCATCACACTACCTGACTTCAAACTATACTACAAGGCTACAGTAACCAAAACAGCATGGTACTTGTACCAAAACAGAGATATAGATCAATGGAACAGAACAGAGCCCTCAGAAATAACACCACATATCTACAACTATCTGATCTTTGACAAACCTGAGAAAAACAAGCAATGGGGAAAGGATTCCCTATTTAATAAATGGTGCTGGGAAAACTGGCTACCCAGATGTAGAAAGCTGAAACTGGATCCCTTCCTTACACCTTATACAAAAATCAATTCAAGATGGATTAAAGACTTAAACGTTAGACCTAAAACCATAAAAACCCTAGAAGAAAACCTAGGCATTACCATTCAGGTCATAGGCATGGGCAAGAGCTTCATGTCTAAAACACCAAAAGCAATGACAACAAAAGCCAAAATTGACAAATGGGATCTAATTCAGCTAAAGAGCTTCTGCACAGCAAAAGAAACTACCATCAGAGTGAACAGGCAACCTACAAAATGGGAGAAAATTTTCACAACCTACTCATCTCACAAAGGGCTAATATCCAGAATCTACAATGAACTCAAATAAATTTACAAGAAAAAAACAAACAACCCCATCAAAAAGTGGGCGAAGGACATGAACAGACACTTCTCAAAAGAAGACATTGATGCAGCCAAAAAACACATGAAAAAATGCTCATCATCACTGGCCATCAGAGAAATGCATATCAAAACCACAATGAGATACCATCTCACTCCAGTTAGAATGGCAATCATTAAAAAGTCAGGAAACAACAGGTGCTGGAGAGGATGTGGAGAAATAGGAACACTTTTACACTGTTGGTGCGACTGTAAACTAGTTCAACCATTGTGGAAGTCAGTGTGGCGACTCCTCAGGGATCTAGAACTGGAAATACCATTTGACCATGCCATCCCATTACTGGGTATATACCCAAAGGACTATAAATCATGCTGCTATAAAGACACATGCACATGTATGTTTATTGTGGCATTATTCACAATAGCAAAGACTTGGAACCAACCCAAATGTCCAACAATGATAGACTGGATTAAGAAAATGTGGCACATATACACCATGGAATACTATGCAGCCATAAAAAATGATGAGTTCATGTCCTTTGTAGGGACATGGATGAAATTGGAAATCATCATTCTCAGTAAAGTATCGCAAGAACAAAAAACCAAACACCGCATATTCTCACTCATAGGTGGGAATTGAACAATGAGATCACATGGACACAGGAAGGGGAATATCACACTCCAGGGACAGCTGTGGGGTGGGGTGAGGGGGGAGGGACAGCATTAGGAGATATACCTAATGCTAAATGACGTGTTAATGGGTGCAGTACACCAGCATGGCACATGTATACATATGTAACAAACCTGCACGTTGTGCACATGTACCCTAAAACTTAAAGTATAATAATAATAAAAGAAAAAAAGAAATAAAAGAAATAAAAGACAATGGGAACTTCATTACCTACTCAAAAGCTACTGTCCTCAAAAAGGAAACTCATATAATGTTGATGAGAATGTAAATTAGCTCAATCAGTGTGGAAATCAGTATGGAGGTTTTTCAAAATAATTACAAATAGGATTGCCATATAATCCAGTAATCCCACTATGAGGTATATGTCCAAAAAGAGCAAATCAGTATATCAAAGGGATACCTGTATCACCATGTTTATTACAGCATTATTCACAATAGCCATGGTGTGTAATCAACCTAAATATCCATCAGTGGATTACATGAATAAAGAATATGTGTTATATGTACACAATGGAATACTATTCAGCCACAAAAAAGAATATAATCATGTCATTTTCATCAACACGAATGAAACTGAAAGTCATTATGTTAAGTGAAATAAGCCAGGTACAGAAATACAAATATTGTATCTTCTCACTCATATGTGGGAGCTAAAAATGTTGATCTCATGGAGATAGAGAGTAGAATGCTGGTTGCTAGAGGCTGGGAAGGCTGAGTAGGAGATGAAGAGACATTGGTTAATAGGTACAAACATACTCTTAGATAGAAGGAATAAGTTCTGTTTGATAGCGCAGTAGCATGACTATAGTTAATAATTTGGTGTATATTTCAAAATAGCTAAAAGAGAAGATTTAAAATGTTCCAAATACAAAGAAATGATAAACACTTGAAGTGATGGATGTTATAATACCCCAATTTGATAATTACACATTGTATATATGTGTCAAAATATTACATGCACCCCCAAAATATGTACAATTATTTTGTATCATTTTTTAATTATGAAAAAATTTAAGCTACTGTCTTCTTGTTTCTTGCTTAAGGTACCTCACTTTTGTCTGGAATGGCAATATATCCCTGCCTCAGAGACAACCATGATTAGTTGAAGCCATTCAAAGTACTTCCATATCTTTTTGGCCAAATTCTTACCTTCCCAGACTCTCTTGCAACTAGAAGTGTTCATATGATAACATTTTGTCCAAAGAAATGTAATGTGGAGTTTTTTGGAAGGCTTTTATGGAAGATATTTTTAAGCTTTCTCCACCCTAATGAGAAGAAAACCTTATATCTGCAGCCCTTTTTTGCATAAGTATGAGAATGCCGTGCCGACAGCTGCTGCAATTATCTTGCAACAATGAAGCAACAAGAATGAAGACAAAAAGCCATATACTGAAAGGATGGAGCAAAAGAATAGAAAGTTAGGTCTTTCATGACATCATTGAGCCATTGATGTAACCCTGGAACCACCACCTCCAGACTTCCTGATAAGTAAACAAAAATTGCATTATGGTTTGAGCCACTGTTAATCAGGTTTTCTGCTACTTGCAGATAATAAAATTTACATGTATTGGGCACCTATTATCTGCCAGGCAAAAAATGGTGTTTAACATATTTTATCTCATTTAATTGAATCCAACAAATCCATGGGATGGGTATTACCATCAGTCTTTTTCCAATAAAGCTTAAAAAGGGTTCAGTGTGTTGTCCAAGGCCACAAAACTACTGAGTGATAGAACCAAGATTAAAACTTGTATATGTCCGTCTCCAAAACTCTTCCCACTAAAAATATATTCATAACTATAATACATCATAGAAAGCTGTGCACTGAGAAATAGGTACAACTTATCTATTTAAAAGGGGGAAGAAGGCAGGAGAACAGTCTAAACCAGCAATTACTACCTTTTGCTGTTGTTTTAAGCCACAAGCCTCAAACCCCTCAAAGTCATTCATGAGAGTTGGAATCAACTTCCTCTAAACTTTAGTTAATGTTGACATTTTGACCTCCTCCCATGAATTACAAATCTTCTTAATGACATCTAGAATGGTGAATCCTTTTCAGAAGGTTTTCAATTGACTTTTTCTAGATCCATCAAAGGAAACACTATCTATTTCAGCTATAACCTTATGAAAAGTATTTCTTAAATAATAAGACTTGAAAGTTGGAATTACTTCTTGATCCATGGGTTCCAAAATGGATGTTGTGTTAGCAGGCATGAAAACATTAATCTCCTCATTCATCTCCATCAGAGATCTTTGGTAAGCAGGTGTATTATCAACAAGCAGCACTATTTTAAAAAGAATCTTTTTTCTGTGCAGTAGGTCTTAACAATGGGCTTAAAATATTCATTAGATCATACAGTAAACAGATATGTTGTTATCTAGGCTTTGTTGCTCCATATATACAGCAAAGTCACAGTAGATTTAGCATAATTATGCAGGGCCATAGGAGATTCAGAATAGTAAATGAGTGTTGCCTTCAACCTAAAGTCACCAGCAGCATTAGCCCCAGCAAGACAGTCATTCTGTTCTTCAAAGTTTGGAAACCAGGCACTGACTTTTCTCTCTACCTAAAGAAGTCCTAAATGTCACCCTTTTCCAATAGAAGACTGTTTTGTCTACATTGAATATCTCTTGTTTAGTGTAGCCACCTTCATCAATTAGCTAGATCTTCTGTTTAACTTGATGCAGCTTCTACATTAGCACTTGCTGCTTCACCTTGTGCTTTTATGTTATAGAGATGGCTTCTTTCCTTAAACTTTCAAACTTTTCTTCTGCAACTTCCTCACCTCTTTCAGCCTTGATATAATTAAAAACAGAAGGGCTTTGCTCAGGATTAGGCTTTGACTTAAGGGAAAGTTGTGGCTGGTTTGATCTATCCAGACCACTACTAGGTTCTCTATATCAGCAGTAAGGTTATTTCACATTCTTATTTTTAGCAAGTTCACTGGAGTAATGCTTTGAATTTCCTTTAAGAACTTTTTCTTTGCACTAACAACTTGACTGTTCGGCACAAGAGACCTGGCTATCACTAAGCATAATTATTTCTAGCTTTTGACTTAAAGTGAGAGATGTGCAACTCTTTCTTTCACTTGAACACGTAGAGGCCATTGTAGTGTAATTAACTGGATTAATTTCAATATTTTTGTGTCTCAAGGAATAGGGATACCCAAAGATAGAGACAGGGATAGGCAAATGGCCAGTTAGTGGAGCCATCAGAACACATGCAACATGTATCAATTAAGTTTGCTGTCTTATATGGGTGTGGTTCTTGGTGCCCAAAACAATTATGAAGTTACATCAAAGAAAACTGATCACAGATTATTATAACAGATATAAAAATAATGAAAAAGTTTGAAGTATTGTGAAAATTGCCAAAATGTGATGCAGAAACACTAAGTGAGCACATGCTGGTGGAAAAATAGTACCAATAGATATGTTCAGTGCAGGGTTGCTACAAATCTTCAATTTGTAAAAATGCAATATCTGCAAAGTACAATAAAATAAGGTATGCTTGTATTTGCGATGCTTGGTTGCCAGTCAAAATAATTTGTATGCTATGCTATGGGCAATAGAGAGTATTAAAGATTTTTAGATATACGAGTAATATGATCAAAGGCATATATGATTTACTAGTAAATTTTTAAACAGTTTTCAGTCTAACATACTGCAACATATTCAGGGAGCACTTCTCACACCTGCCAAGGCAAAATTCCATTCCAGTTTATATGACAACGGGTCTTACGCAAAAGCATATTCAAGGGCATAGCTTCAAAATGACAGATAGTATCAATCATTTTTAACATATCATTTATCATAAAATAAAGAATTCTTTTGAGAAAAAAAGATACATTCTATTTCTCCTGATGGTTCTTTTGCTACCCAACTTGGAATAACCTATTTATAAAAATTAAAAAAAAACTTAATTCAAAACACACTTATTTAATATAATAAAAAGTTTTCTTAAAGTAAATGGTACTGTTAAAATCACTGTATTTTTGTGTTTCTAAAGACGATTGCCTCAGCTTTATTAATCATCAAACTCTAAAACAAGATTTATTTGCACTTAGCCAGCTCCTATTTGCCAACAAGCACATATGCCACTTTGGAAATATATGGTGTAAATATTTCTTAATTTCAATTATTATAGTACTGACAACTCTACCCTCCTAGTCAAAATACAGCAGAAGAGGTGACATTAGTGAAAGTGGTAGAGTACACCATTCCAAAGGCCCATTCCACTACAGGAAAAAAAAAAAGAAAATAAGTAAAAATTGTCAGTATCAACATTTTCAGAACTCTGAAAAATATTCAAAGATTTACAGCAACAAACTGAACACTGAGTTAAGTAAAAGTGACTAAAACAAGCTAGGAGGAGAGTTTTGAAGCTGTTAATTCAAATTTTCTCTGCACTCACCCCAGTAAAGTGACAGTCTTGAAGACAGCAGCCCATGTTCAGGTGTAGATACCTGGTTTCTGGAGGAACAAAGTGAACCTTTTTCTAAAGTAATTTTGTTCAAGTTTGACCTCTCTTGGGGTTTACTGATGAATTAATGCTAGGTGTTTGAAAATCCAGAACATTTTCAGGGAAGAAAAGTATTTGTGTGGAAGGTATTTTTTAAAAGCATTGAAAGGCAAATGAACAATCTGTTGCCACCTGAGGCAAAATATTACAATTGGAGAACGACATAATAAAACTGATAAAGCCAAAAAGCACAATGCTTAATGAAATAAAAGAGGACACAAAGAGATGGAAGAACATTTCATGCTCATGGATAGAAAGAATCAATATTGTGAAAATGGCCATACTGTCCAAGGTAACTTACAGATTCAGTGCTATCCCCATCAAGCTACCACTGACTTTTGTCACAGAAATGGAAAAAACTACTTTAAATTTCATATGGAACCAAAAAAGAGCACAAATAGCCAAGACAATCCTAAGCAGAAAGAACAAAGCTGGAGGCATCACGCTACCTGAACTACCTGACTTCAAACCATACTACAAGGCTACAGTAACCAAAACAGCATGGCACTGGTATCAAAACAGAGATATAGACCAATGGAACAGAACAGAGCCCCCAGAAACAACACCACACATCTACAACCATCTGATCTTTGACAAATCTGAGAAAAACAAGAAATGGGGAAACGATTCCCTATTTAATAAATGGTGCTGGGAAAACTGGCTAGTCATATGTACAAAGCTGAAACTGGATCCCTTCCTTTCACCTTATACAAAAATTAACTCAACATGGATTAAAGACTTAAATGTAAGACCTAAAACCATAAAAACCATAGAACAAAACCAGGCAATACCATTCAGGACATAGGCATGGGCAAAGACTTCATGACTAAAACACCAAAAGCAATGGCAACAAAAGCCAAAATAGACAAGTGGGATCTAATTGAAGTAAAGAGCTTCCGCATGGCAAAAGAAACCACCATCAGAGTGAAGAGGCAACCTACAGAATGGGAGAAAATGTTAGCAATCTATTCATCTGACAAAGGGCTAATATCTCGAATCTACAAGGAACTTAAACAAATCTACAAGAAAAAAAACAACCCCAACAAAACTTGGGCCAAGGATATGAACAGACACTTCTCAAAACAAGACTCATATGCAGCCAACAGACATATGAAAAAAATGCTCATCATCACTGGCCATCAGAGAAATGCAAATCAAAACCACAATGAGATACCATCTCACACCAGTTAGAATGGTGATCATTAATAAGTCAGGAAACAGATGCTGGAGAGGATATGGAGAAATAGGAACACTTTTACACTGTTCGTGGGAGTGTAAATTAGTTCATCCATTGTGGAAGACAGAGGGCGATTCCCCAAGGATCTAGAACCAGAAATACCATTTGACCCAGCAATTCCATTACTGGGTATATACCCAAATGATTATAAATCATGCTACTATAAAGACACATGCACATGTATGTTTATTGTGGCATTATTCACAATAGCAAAGACTTGGAACCAACCCAAATGTCAATCAATAATAGACTGGATAAAGAAAATGTGGCACATATACACCATGGAGTACTGTGCAGCCGTAAAAAAGGATGAGTTCATGTCCTTTGCAGGGACATGGATGAAGCTGGAGACCATCATTCTCAGCAAAATATCACAAGGACAGAAAATCAAACACAGCATGTTCTCACTCATAAGTGGGAGTTGAACAATGAGAACACATGGACACAGGGAGGAGATCATCACATACCAGGGCCTGTTGGGGGGTGGGGGACTAGGGGAGGGATAGAGTTAGAAGAAATCCCTAATATAAATGACTAGTTGATGGGTGCAGCAAACCAACATGGCACATGTATACATAACAAACCTGCACCTTGTGCACGTGTACCCTAGAACTTAAAATATAATTTAAAAAAGGAAAAAAAAGAGTTTCAAGACAGCTACCACACAGCATTAAACCAAATGTGAGCTTTTCTCAGAGGGGGGCCTTTGTGACTTCACAGGTTACCTGCCATGAAGCCCTCCCTTGGAGACAAGCATCATGAATGATCAGCAGTAGGATAGAGCTTGTCTCTCTGAATCCGCACCTCGGCTCAAAGAGGTAATCAGTGCAACCTTTAGCGACCACAGCATGTTTTCTAAGAGCTGAAGGCGGTATCCCAGAAAAGAATAGAACACATGTAAGTGTATTCTTCCAAATTTGATGTTGATATTAAGAAAAACATAGAACATGTTTTTCGGTACAGGCTGCACAAAAAGCATTTCTTGGTGAAAGCTTCCTAAAACTCTCAGCAAGCCCCAAACAGAGCTGCGGTGTGGGGAGTTCTGGATCAAAGCCTGCCTGCTGAATGTAGAAAGTAGTGAGTTTCTACTAATGAGGCCCATTCAGCGTCTAGTCAAATCTTTCTCTATTCTGTGCCTGGCGAACACGTCAAGTTGTTATCAAACCACAGAGGGAGATGCAGATAAATGCTCTCTGATCCTGTCCTTGGTAAAAACTGTAATTTACAGGCTATCTTAGGGGATAACTGTAATTGGAACTTTTATGTTATGTTTTACTTTCAGTTGTGATTACCCACAACTACATTTGCTTAGATACATCTAAAGGGCACCTGTACTTGGGTCTGGTTATGACCTTGTACGTGGTGTGAGTGGGTGTGAGTGTATGTGAGTGTGTGTTCATACATACACACGTACCCTTTTGTGAAATTTGCACATATATAAATATGAAGTGGTTAATTACTTTATTTGCTTTGTTTCTGTTAAGCCTTAAAAAAGCTGGTAATACCAAAGACATCAGAAATACCATTTCCTTGTTGACCCAGCAATCCCATTACTGGGTATATACCTAAAGGATTATAAATCATTCTACTATAAAGACACATGCACACATATGTTTATCGCAGCACTATTTACAATAGCAAAGACTTGCAACCAAACCAAATGCCCATAAATGATAGACTGGATAAAGAAAGTGTGGCACATATATACCATGGAATACTATGCAGACATAAAAAAGAATAAGTTCATGTCTTTTGCAGGGACATGGATGAAGCTGGAAGCCATCAGTCTCAGCAAACTAACACAGGAACCAAAAAACAAACACCACATGTTCTCACTCATAAGTGGGAGTTGAACAATGAGAACACATGGACACAGGGAGGGGAACATCACATATTGGGGCCTTTTGGGGGTGGGGGACAAGGGGAGGGAGAGCATCAGGACAAATACCTAATGCATGTGGGGCTTAAAACCTAGATGACGGCTTGATAGGTGGAGCAAACCACCATGGCACATGTATATCTATGTAACAAACCTGCATGTTCTGCACACGTAATACAGAACTTAAAGTGAAATAAAAAATATATATGTTGGTTTGAAAAAAGCACAATAAAAGAATTGCATAATGCAATCACAAGTATTAATAGCAGAATAGACCAACCTGAGGAAAGAATCTCAGAGCTGGAAGACTGTCTTTCTGAAATGAGATAAGCACACAAGAATAGAGAAAAACATATGGAATCGTGTAAAGAGACCAAATCTGTGACTGACTGGTATACCTGAAGTAGATGGGGAGAATGGAACCAATTTGGAAAGCATATTTCAGCATATTTTCCATGACAGCTTCTCTAACCTAGCTAAGCAAGCCAACATTCAGATTCAGGTAATGCAGAGAACCCCGGTAAAATACTCCATGAGAAGGTAACCCCGAAACATATAATTATCAGATTCTCCTAAGTCAAAATGAAAGAAAAAATATTGAAGGCAGCTAGAGAGGAAGGCCGGATCACCTACAATAGGAAGCCCATCACACTAACAGCAGACTTCTCAGCTGAAAACTTACAAGCCAAAAGTGACTGGGGCCTACACACAACAGTTGCAAAAAAAAAAAAAAAGAAAGAAAAGAAAAAGAAAAGAAGGGAGGAAGGAAAGAAAGAAAGAAAGAAAGAGAGAGAAAGAAAGAGAAAAAAGAAATTCCAACACAAAATTCCATATCTGGCCAAACTAAGTTTCATAAGAGAATAAGAAATAAGATCCTTTACAGACAAGCAAATGCTGAAGAAATTTGTTAAAACCGGGCCTGACTCACAAGAGCTCCTGAAGGAAGCACTAAATATGGAAAGGTAATACCACTACTAGCCACTAACAAACACACTGAAGTACACAGAACAGTGACACTATAAAGCCACCACATAAACAAGTTCATAAAATAACCAGCTAGCATTATGATGACAGGATCAAATCCACACATATAAATACTAATCTGAAATATAAATGAGCTAAATGCCCCCAAGTAAAAGATACAGAGTGGCAAGCTGAAAGTACCAAGACCCATTGGTATACTGTCTTCAAGAGACCATCTCATATGCAAAGACACACACAGGCTCAAAATAAAGGGATGAAGGAAATTTTACCAAGCAAATGGAAAGCAGAAAAAAGCAGGGGTTGCAATCCAAGTTTCTGACAAAACAGACTTTAAGCCAACAAATATTATTAGAGACAAAGAAGGGCATTAAATAATGGTAAAGGGCTCAATTCAACAAGAAAAGCTAACTATCCTAAATATATATGCTCCCAATACAGGAGCACCTAGATTCATAAAACAAGTTCTTAAAGACCTACAAAAAATCTTAGACTCCCACATAATAATCGTGTGAGATTTTAGCATCCAACTGACAATATTAGACAGATCATCAACATAGAAAATTAACAAAGATATTCGGGACCTAAAATCAATACTGGATCAAATGGACATGGAGGTATCTACAGAAATCTCCACCCAAAAATAACAAAATATACATTTTTTATTGCCACATGGCACTCACTCTAAAATCAGTCACATAATCAGAAATAAAACACTCCTAAACAAACGCAAAAGAACTGAAATCATAACAAACAGTATCTTGGACCACGGTACAATCAAATTAGAAATCTAGCAAGAAATCTACTCAAAATTATATAATTACGTAGACATTTAATAACCTGCTCCTGAGTGACTTGGGTAAATAATAAAATTAAGGCAGAAATCAAGAAGTTCTTTGAAACTATTAAGAACAAATATACAATGTACCACAATCTCTGGGACACAGCTAAGGCATTGTTAAGAGAGAAACTTATAGCAATACATGCCCACAACCAAAGGAAGAAAGATATCAAGTTAACAACCTTACAGCACAACTAATAAAACTAGAGAACCAAGAGAAAACAAATTCCAAAGCTAGCAGAAGACAATAAATAACCAAAATCAGAGCTGAACTGAAGGAGATAGAGTCATAAAAAGCCGTTCAAAAGATCAACGAATCCAGGAGCTGGTTTAGTGAAAAATAATGATAAAATAGACCACTAGCTAGACTAACAAAGAAGAAAACAGAGATGATTCAAACAAATACAATAAGAAATGATAAAAAAAAGAAAGAAATGATAAGGCAGATGTCACCACTGACCCCACAGAAATACAAACAACCATCAGATAACACTATAAACATCTATATGCACATAAATTAGAGAATCTAGAAGAAATCGATAAATTTCTGTCCACGTACTACTTCCGAAGACTGACCCAGGAAGAAATTGAATCCCTGAAAAGATCAATAATGAGTTATGAAATTGAGGCCATTCATCTGAAAAAGGTGTAATATCCAGAATCTACAAGGAATTTAAGCAAATTTACAAGAAAGAAACAAATAGCCCCATCAAAAAGTGGACAAAGGGCATGAACAGACATTTCTCAAAAGAAGACATACACGTGGCCAACAAACATGAAAAGAAGCTCAACATCATTGATCACTAGAGAAATGCAAATCAAAATCACAATGAGATAACATCACATAAGAGTTAAAGTGGTGATTATTAAAAAGTCAAAAAGCAACAGATTGTTGGCAAGGTTGCAGAGAAATAGGAAAGTTTTACACTGTTGATGGAAATGTAAATTAGTTCAACCATTGTGGAATACTGTTGGCAATTCCTCAGAGACTTAGAACTGGAAATGCCATTTGAACCAGCAATCCCATTACTGAATATACCCAAATGAATATTAATCATTCTATTATAAAGATACATCCATGTGTATGTTAATTGCAGCACTATTTACAATAGCAAAGGCATGGAATCAACCCAAATGCTCATCAATGATAGATTGGATAAAGAAGATGTGGTACATATACACCATGGAATACTATGCAACCACAAAAAAGAAGGAGATCATATCCTTTGCAGGGACATGAATGAAGCTGGAAGCCATTGTACCCAGCAAACTAATGCAGGAATGGAAAATAAAACACTGCATTTTCTCACTTATAACTGGGAGCTGAGCAATGAAGACACATGGACACAGGGAAGAAAACAACACACATTGGGGCCTGTCAGAGGAGGGCAGTGGGGAGAGCACATCAGGAAAATAACTAATGCATACCAGGCTTAATACCTAGGTGATGGGTTGATAGGTGCAGCAAACCACCATGGCACACTTTTACCTATGTAACAAATCTGCACATTCTGCACAAATACCCCAGAACTTTAAAATAAAATAAAAATAAATTGGAGAAAAGTTAATAGAAATTATCCAAACTAAAAGATAGAAAGTAAGAGCCACACACCTGCCCAAGATAGGGTACATGTTCAGAAAATACCTCAAAAGAACTTACCTCTCATCTCTGGCTAATCTTTACGCTCTGTGAAAGCAGGAAGTGAAGGCTAAGACAGAGTGTTAACTGGACCACCTTAATCTTAAAGGAGTGGCCCAAAACAAAGACAGTCTGCAAAGAATGGAACAGTTTTGTGTCTTTTTCAGTCCAACTGTTTAAGAAAAATCTGTCAAATTGCTAGCTGACCATCAACTAAAGAAACAGAAATTTCAGAGACCATACACAGCCAATAATAAGGTCTTTTAAAATTACATAAAAATTAGATTTAAAAGCAGTCAATAGACAAACAGTTACAACTCACAGCAAGCAACAACAACTCCTGCTATGGGAGGTGGAGAATCTATTTTCCGAGCTACCACATTATCATTGCCAAAAGGCTCATTTTAACAAAAAAATATGAAGCATGCAAAGGAACAAAAACTATGTCTCATTTTCTTAAGAAAGTAACAGAAATTGTTTCTAAGGAAACACAGATCATGGTACTTACTGCTCAAAAAATATTGTTAACTGTCTTAAATATGCTCAAAGAGCTAAATGAAACCATGGACAAAGAACTAAAGGAAGTCATAAGGAAAACATTCTAAGAAATAGAGAATATCAATAAAGAAAAAATGTATTTTTCAAAAAAAATTCTACAGCCGAAAACTAAAATAATTCAAAAACAAAATTCACTAGAGGTTTTCAACAGCAGATTTGAGCAAGCAGAAAATAATTAGTGAACTGGAAGACAGGAAATTGAAATTATCCAGTCTGAGAAACAGAAAAAAAGAAGAAAAATGAACAGAGTCCAAGAGGCCTGTGGGAAACCATCAAGTGTACCAATATAGAATGTGACAATAGGAGTTCCAGAAATAGAGGAAAGAGAAAAAAGCAATGTAAGAATGTATAAAAAATGGTTTAAAAGTCCCAAATTTGATTAAAAAAACATGATCTAAACATACAGGAAGCTCAATGAACTACAAGTTATTTAAACGAACAGTTATACTCCAATACATAATCAAACTGACCAAAAAAAAATCTTGAAAGCAGCAAAAGATAAGCTACTTGACACATTCAAGAAATAGTCATCAACATTGGCAGCTATTTTCTCACCAGAAACTATGAATGCCCTAAAAAGTAGGGTGACATATTTAAAGTATTGAAAGAAAAAACTTTCAACCAAGTATTTAATATCCAGCAAAACTATCATTTAAAAAGAAGGAGAATTAGGATTCAGGCAAGATAGCTGAATACACACAGCCAGATGGAACACCTGCCACTAAGGGATCAGGACAACTGGCACACTCTTAACAGATCATCAGAGGGAAGGCACTGAGAGCAAATGGATGGAAGACACAGAAGCTGGGCTGAAGATGGAGAAAGCTGGGAACCTTCCACCGGGCTACTACCCTGTGGCCACAATACAGGGGATCATTCCTGGCCACCAATGACTTCAGGGGAACGGGTGAGTCAAACTGGCAGAGAGCAACCTGCTTTTGCCATGGACCTCTGGAATCCTGTCAGGAGGAGACCTCTCAACCACCAGACTCTTATGTTGGCAGGAAGAGCTGTTTAGAGAAGTGGTAGGGGCAGCCAGTGTCAAGCCCAGAGGGTTTGGTGTGGGAGTGTCTGTGGCAGAACATGGCTAAGGACTCCCATCCTCCTGGGCTCAACTTGCTTCCATAGAAAACTTTAGCCCTAAGGGAACTTCTACACCTGAAATCTGCAGGGTGGTCTTGCCCTTCAAATGGGGTCAGTCTGACCTGAGCACCTCTTGGTCTGCTGGCCTCTATCAGGACCCCATCCTGGCCACACCTACTTGCAGTGCAGCCTTAAGTTCCCTGAGGACCCACATCATACCTCTTGCACTAAAAGACCATGCCTAACTGACAGAAAGCTCCAGTAGGTTTGTCTCCATGCCACTGACCAGCCCATCTGCTCTCTCCCATCACTGCAGCTTTCCCTAGGCCCATGGCAATCCCCCCACATCACTTTGCCAGTGTGTATATGCATGGAGAAATTTTGCCATACTTATCCCACCAGCACTTGTGTGCATGTGCACCATGCCCTATAACTTCTGCCAGCAGAAATGCACTCTGATCCCCCACCCACCCACTGTACCTCCACTGCCTTTGGAGCCCTGGTAGGCACAGAGCCTCTCAGCCCTGCCCTAACCAGCCTTTTGCCCCAGTGACAACATGGGTGCTAGAGTGAAACTAGGCATGAACAGCAGACCTTCCCCTACTATGAGCAGCCACAGAGTGCACACATAAACCTGTGCCCACCAGTGCCTTGTCCCCATGCTAACACCACCACCAGAGCAATGGCATGCACAGTGGCCAGCAGGGGGCGCCTCTCCGCCTGAGCCATGCTGCCTCCACCTCTGCTATGAATGAATGCACAAAGACAGGCACCCCAGCACCCACTAGCATTCTTCCTCAGCCAATGAGTGTGCACTCTGCCATGCTGGCTGCTGCACCTGGCATATGCAAGGATGGATCCTGCTGCCACCACCCTATAAAATGTTTTAACTGGCACCACTGATCAAAGTGTGGTAACCAGCAGTCCAAGAGCACATTGCCTTCACAGAGCAGTGAGTTGCTCACATAGAGGAGCCAAAGAACAAAGCCAAGGTGCAATACAAGTCCCCCAGAGATAGAGTAGGCAGTCCAGAAATTGGGAGCTGAAACTTGGACCCTAAAATTTTCCAGAAATGAAGCCAGTCAACTGAACCCACCTTATACTATAATAAAATGCTCAAGATTATCAGATAGGATAAAAGGAAAAATCCAAAAAACAGCAATTTCAAAGACTGAAGTAACACCAGCACAGAAAGATGAGAAAGAACCAGAACTAGAAATCTGACAGCTCAAAAAGCCAGAGTGCCTTCTTTACTCCAAACAATCACACTAGCTTTAAAACTGGGGTTCTGAGCTGGGCTGAGATGGCTAAAATGACAGAAATAGAATTCAGAATATAAATAGGAATTAAGATAATTGAGATTCAGGGTACGTTCAAAGCCAATACAAGGAAGAAAATCAATAAAATAATACAGAAGCTGAGAGACAAAATAGCCAGTATAGTAAAAAACATAATCAACCTGACAGAGCTGTAAAGCACACTGCAATAGTTTTATAATTTAATCATAAATATTAAGAACAGAATAAACAAAGCTTAGGAAAGAATCTCAGAGCTTGAAGACTGGCTTTCTGAAATAAGACAGTCAGACAATAATAGAGAAAAAAGGATGAAAAGAAAAAAACAAAATCTCTGAATAATATGGAACTGTGTAAGGAGATCAAAACTATGACCCATTGCTGTCTCTGAAATAGATGGGGAGAATGGAAGAAACTCAGGAAACATATTCTGGGATATCATTCATGACAACTTCCTCAACCTAGCTAGACAGGCCAATAGGCAAATTCAGAAAATGCAGAGAAACTCAGTAAGATACTTCCCAAGAAGATCATCCCCAAGACACATAATCATCAGATTCTCCAATGTCAAAATGTAAGAAAACAATGTTAAAGGCAGCTAGAGAGAAAGGCCAAGTAACCTACAAAGAGAAGTCCATCAAGCTAACAGCACACATCTCAGCAGCAACCCTATAAAGAAGAGATTTGGGGCCAATATTCAACATCATTAAAGAAATTCCAAGCCAAAATAAGCTTTATAAGCAAAGAAGAAATAAGATACTTCTCAAACAAGCAAATGCTGAAGGAATTCATTACCATCAGACCTGCCTTACAAGAGCTCCTGAAGAAAGCACTAAATATAAAAAAGACCATTACCAGCCACAACAAAAACACACTGAAGTATACAAATCAGTGACACTATAAAGCAACCACATAAACCAGTCTGTAAAATAACCAGCTAATGTTATAATGACAGAATCAAATCCATACATATCAATACTAACCTTGAATTTGAATAGGCTAAATGCCCCAATTAAAGACACAGAGTGACAAGCTGGATAACAAACAAAGACCCATTAGTATGCTGTCTTCAAGAGACCAATTTCACATGAAATGCCACTCATAGACTCAAAATAAAAAGATGAAGAGAAATTTACCAAGCAAAAGGAAAACAGAAAAAAGCAGAGGTTACAAACCTAATTTCAGACAAAACAGACTTTAAACCTAAAAAGATTTTTAAAAGACAAAAAGGGCATTACATAATGGTAAAGGGTTCAATTCAATGAGAAAAGCTAACTATCCTAAGTATATATGCACCCAAGACAGGAGCACCCAGATTTATGAATTTATAAAGATCTTAAAAGCAAGTTCTTACAGACCTTGAAAAAGATGTGAACTCCCACACTGGAAATTTCAACACCCTACTGACAGTTTTATATCATAGAGGCACAAAGTTAACAAAGATATTCAGGACCTAAACTCAGCACTAGATCAAATGGACCCAATAGACGTCTGCAGAACTCTCCTCTCAAAAACAACAAATATACATTCTTCTTATTGCTACATGGCACATACTCTAAAATTAATCACATAATTGATCATAAAAAAACTTCTCACAAATGTAAAAAAAAAAAACTCACACACCTACAGTGAACTCATTTTGGACAAAGGTACCAAGAACATACACTGGAGAAAAGACAGTCTTTTCAATAAATGGTGCTGGAAAAACTGGATATTCATATGCAGAAGAATGAAACCAGACCCTATCTCTCAAATCAAAATGGAATAAAGTCTTAAATCTAAGATCTCAAACTATTAAACTACTACAAGAAAACATTGGGAAAACTCTCCTGGACATTGGTCTGGACAAAGACTTATTGAGTAATACCCCACATGCACAGGCAACCAAAGCAAACATGGACAAATGAGACCACATCAAGATAGAAAGCTTTTGCTCAGCAAAGCAAACAATCAACAAAGTGAAGGCACAACCCACAGAATGGAAGAAAATATTTGCAAACTACCAATCTGACAAGGAATTATTAATGGGAATATATGAGAAGCTTGAACAACTCTATAGAAAAAAATTCTAATAATACGATTTAAATATGGGTGAAAGATATGAATAGACATTTCTCAAAAGAAGACCTACAAATGGAAAACAGGGATATGAATTGGTACTCAATACCTTTGTTCATCAGAGAAATGCAAATCAAAACTATAATGAGATATAATCCCACCCCAATTAAAATGGCTCATATCCAAAAGACAGGCAATAACAAATGTTGGTGAGGATATGGAGAAAAGGGAACACACATACACTCTTGGTGGGAGTGTGTATTAGTAAAACTACTAGGAAGAACAACTTGGACAGCTCTATTTTATAACACTAGAGCTATCATATGTTCCAACAATCTCATTGCTGGGTATAGACCCAAAAGAAAAAAAAATTAGTATATTGAAGATATATCTGCACTCTCATGTTTGTTGCAGCTGTCTTCACAATTGCCAAGATTTGGAAGCAACCTAAGTGTTCATCTACATATGAATGAATAAAGAAAATGTACTTACACGCTACTATTCAGCCATAAAAAAGAATGAGATTTAGTCATTTGCAACATTATGAATGAAACTGGAGCTCATTATGTTAAATGAAATAAGCCAGGCACAAAAGGACAAAGCACATGTTTACACTTACTTGTGGGATTTAAAAATTAAAACAATTGATCTCATGGAGATAGAGAGTAGAAAGGTGGTTACCAGAGGCTAGGAAAGGTAGTGGTTGGGCGGGAGAGATGTGGGGATTGTTAATGTGTACAAAAAGGTAACTAGAGTAAATGAATAAGACCTATTATTTGATAGCACAACCACTTAACTATAGTCAATAATTTAGTTGTACATTTTAAAATAACTGAAAGAGTATAATTAGATTGTTTGTAATGCAAAAGATAAATGCTTGAGGGGATGGGTATCTCACTTCTTATGATGTGATTATTTTACACTGCATGCCTCTGTCAAAATATCTTATGAACCCCATAAATACATACACTTACTATGTACTCATAAAACTTAAAAATAAAGAAGTATTTAAATAAAGAAATGGACAAAGGGCCTGAATGGATATTTATCACTAATGATCAGGAAAATGCAAATCAAAACCACACACAGATATCACCTCACTCCTGTTAGGGTGTTACTACAACAAGTCAAATAACATATGTTGACAAGAATTTGTAGAAAAGGGAACACTTGTACATCATAGGTGGGAATGTAAATTGGTACAACCATTATGTAAACAGTATGGAGCTTTCCCCAAAAAATAAATATAGGCCATATGACCTGGGAAACCCACTTCTGGATATATACGCAAAGAAAATAAAATGACTGTCCTGAAAAGACATTTACCTTCCCATGTTCACTGCAGTTTCATTTACAATAGCCAGGTATGGAAACAACTTATGTGTTCGTCAACAGATGAATGAATAGAGAAAATGTGTATATACACAATAAAATACTATTCAGCCTTTTAAAAAGGAGGAAATCTTGCCATTTTCAACTACATGGATGAACCTGAAAGACATTATGCTCAGTAAAATAAGCCAGACACAGAAAGACAAGTACTGTATGATTTTACTTATATGGGGAATCTAAAAAAGTTGGACTTATAGAAGCTGAGAGTGGAATGATGGTTGTCAGGTTTGGAGGGGTGGAGAAAAATAGGTTAGTCAAAGGATGCAGACTTTCAGTTAAAAAGTGAAAAGTTATGGAGCTATAATGTACATCATGGTGAATATTGTTAATAGTAATGTATACTTGAAATTTGCTAGGAAAATAGATCTTCAGCATTCTCATCGAAGAAGGGGCAAATATGTGAGGTGGTTAATAGGTTAATTAGCTTAATTGGAGGAATTGTTTCACAACGTATTTTTCATTATTTTTAAATTTTTAATTTTTGTGTGTACATAGTATGTGTATATATTTATGGGGTACATGAGATGTTCTGATACAGACATGCAATGCATATCATGGATAATGGGATATTTATCTCCTCAAACATTTATCCTTTGTGTTACAATCTGATTGTACTTTTTTAAGTTATTTTATATGTACAATTAAATTATTATTTACTATATTCACCCTGTGGTGTTATCAAATATTAGGTCTTATTCATTCTTTTCTACTTTGTACATATTAACTATCCCCACCTTTCCCCATCAACCCCACCCCACTAACCTTCCCAGCCTCTTATGACCATCCTTCTACTCTTTATGTCCATTAGATCAATTGTTTTGATTTTTACATCCCACAAATAAGGGAGAATATGCAAAGTTTGTCTTTCTGTCTCTGGCTTATTTCTCTAAACATAATGATGTCCAGTACCATCCATGTAGTTGCAAATGACAAGATCTCATTCTTTTTTATGGCTGAATAGTACTCCATTGTGTGTATATGTATCACATTTTCTTTATCCACCCATTAGTCAATGGGCACTTAAGTTGGTTCTTTTTAAATTTTTAAAAATATATATATTTTATTTACATAGCTTTTGGGGTACAAGTGGTTTTTTGTTTCATGGATGAATTATATAGTGGCTAATTGTGAGATTTTGGTGCACCCATCACCCAGGTAGTGTACATTGTACTTAATGTTTTTTTATCCCTACACCCCTCCTAACCTCTCCCTTCTGAGTCTCTTAAGTCCATTACATCACTCTGTATGCCTTTGTGTACTAGTAGCTTAGCTCTGACTTATAAGTGAGAATATATGGTTTTTGGTTAAGTCCTGTGTTATTTCACTTAAAATAATGGCTTTCTGCTCCAATCAAGTTACTGCAAAGACATTATTTTATTCCTTTTTATGGCTGAGTAGTATTCCATGGTGTATTTATACTATATTTTCTTCATCCACTCATTAGTTGATGGGCACTTAAGTTGGTTCCACATCTTTGCAATTGTGAATTGTGTTGCAATGCATGTCGTTTTCAGATAATGACTCTTCTTCCTTTGTGTGAATACACAGTAGTGGGACTGCTGGGTCGAATGATAGATCTACTTTTCGCTCTGTAAGGAATCTTCAATACTGTTTTTCACAGAAGTTGTACTAATTTATATTCAGCCAGCAGGATATAAGTGTTCTCTTTTCCTCACATCCACATCAATATTTATTGTTGTTTGACTTTTTAATAATGGTTATTCTTGCAGGAGTAAAGGTGTGTCTCACTGTGGTTTTAATTGGCATTTTTCTGATGATTAGAAATGTTGAGCATTTTTCCATATGACTGTTGGCCATTTGTATATCTTCTTTTTAGAAATGTCTATTCATGTCATTTGCCCACTTTTTGATGGGATTATTTGGGTTTTATTCTTGTGAATTTCTTTGGGTTCCTTGTAGAGTCTAGATATTAGTCCTTTGCTGGATGCATAGATTGCAAATATTTTCTCCCATTCTGTGGGTTGTCTGTTTACTCTGGTATTATTATTATTTAACTGTGCAGAAACCTTTTTAGTTTAATTAGGTCCCATTTATTTATTTTTGTTTTGTTGCACTTGCTTTAAGGATCTTAGTCCTGAATTATTTGTGTAAGCTTATGTCTAGAAGAGTTTTTCCAATGTTGTGTTGTAGAATTGTTATGGTTTCATGTATTATATTTAAGTCTTTGAACCATCTTGCATTGATTTTTGTATAAGGTGAGAGATAAAATCCAGTTTCATTCTTCTACATGTGGCTTTCCAGTTTTCCCAGCACCATTTATTAAATAGGGTATCCATTCTCCAATTATATTTTTTATGCCTTGCCAATGATCAGTTGGTTGCACATATTTGGTTTACTTCTGGATTCTCTATTCTGGTCCATTTGGTCTATGTATCTACTTTTATAACAGTACCATGCTGTTTTTGTGACTATAGCCTTGTTGTATAATTTTAAGTGTGGCAATGCAATGTTCCCTGAATTGTTCTTTTTGCTTAGGATTACTTTGGCTATTTGGGCCCTTTTTATTCCATATAAATTTCAGAATTGCTTTTTCTAATTCAGTAAAAAATGATATTCATATTTTGATGGGAATTGCATTAAATCTGTAAATTACTTTCAGCCATCTGGTCATTTTCACAATATTGATTCTTCCAATCCATGAATATGTAATATGCTTCCATTTGTTTGTGTTATCTATAATTTCTTTCAGCAGTGTTTTGTAGTTCTTTTTGTAGATATCTGTCACCTCCTTGGTTAAGTATATTCCTAGGGTTTTCTTGCAGCCGTTGTAAAAGGGATTGAGTTCTTGATTTAATTCTCAGCATGACTGTTGTTAGTGTATAGCAGTGCTACTCATTTGTGTACATTGATTTTGTAACCTGATACTTCGAATTTTTTAAATCAAATCTAAGAGTCTTTTGGAGGAGTCTTTAGGATTTTCTAGGTATATAATCATATCATTTGCAATCAGTGATAGTTTGACTTCCTCTTTTTCAATTTTGACGCCCTTCATTTTTTTCCCTTGCCTAATTGCTCTGGCTAGGACTTCCAGAATTATGTTGTATAGGAGTGGTAAAAGTGGGAAAACTTGCCTTGTTCCTGTTCTCAGGGGGAATACTTTCAACTTTTCCCCATTCAGTACGATGTTGACTCTGTGTTTGTCTTACATAACATTATTTTGAGGTAGGTTCTTTTGATGCCTAGTTTGTTGAGTGTTTTTATCATAAAGGAAAGCTGAATTTTATGGAATGCTTTTTCTCCATCTCTTGAGATAATGATATGGTTTTTGTGTTTAATTCTGTTCATGCAATGTATCACATTTATTGATTTATGTATGTTAAACCATCCCTGAATCTCTGGGATAAAACTCACTTTATCATGATGTGTTCTTTTTGATGTGTTGTTGGATCAGTTAGTATTTTGTTGAGGATTTTTTTAGTCCCTCAGCAGTGGGTAGCAGCACCAGATCTAATAAGAGTGGAAGGTAAATGACATAGACTCTGTGGTATTCCTGGGTTATGAGAGTCTTAGCATGTTGGCTTTCTCAAATGGCAGCTATTGCAGTAATGAACTGGTTATGTGGACAGACTCAGGACCTCCTGGTTAGCCAGAGTGGTGCAGGCAGTGGTAATAGCTGAGGTCACACAGCTATTTTCTCTTTCCTGGGCACAGTGTTATTCTATCAAGAGATGTCGTAATAAATTGTGTTGGTTGGCCTCCAGCCAGGAAATGGTGCTTGCAAAAGAGCAACAGGCACAATAGTAGCAGTGGGATTTTTCTTCCCTTATGTTGCCCAGGGTGGGTACTCTGGTTTTTCAGACAATGGGGAGAGCCTTATAGCTCCCCAAAGTTTCTGTCTTTTGTGTTAAGCTACCAGGGCTGGTGGTGGGGCAAAGTAAGGTGGGGACTGGGTCAGGTGGGTTTGTGGTTTCACTCTCCATGTGCAGTGCAAGCAGCAGCCCCTGTGGGTGTTTGGGGGTAGGGGGGTTCTAAAGCTTCTGGGTTGATGATCCAGAGCAGAATGATGCTGCCTCTGCTGCACAGAAAAGTTCACACAGGGAATGGGGAGTATCAGGTGGCAGTAAGACCCACATAGATCCCACACACTTGGTGAGGCAGATCCATTCCCACAGTATTCCACTGGCAACAGAAAACTAAGTTCCAGGCAGCCTGCACTCAGAAATTGCAACTGCCATAGGTTATAAACTTTCCCTGCAGAGACACCAATTATGGGTTTCCAGCCATACCCTTTCTCTTCACCCACAAAACCAGGTGCCTGGTTCCTGCACTCGTGGATGCAGCTTGCTTTTCACTGGCCCCCCCAGCCCTGGCAAACGGAATTCATCCCCACGTGAGGTTACATTATGAAACCCAGTTGGGGACTTCTTTCAACCTACAACCACTGTCTGAACTATTTGGCTGACTTTCACATGGTCCCCTGTGAGGAATAATAAAGAATGGTTTCCTTTGGTGTGCACCGGTGATTGGAAGTGCATACAAGGGTCTTCCCACCACTGCTCCTACTTTTATATTCCATGACTCTTCCCAAGTTGGTTCCTGCACTGGGTAGGGTTAAGGCCTTCCCCCATAGCCTGAACTTTCAAGCTCCCTAGTGAGGTTGTAGATCCCAGAGTCAGTCTTTCCCTCTCACAGTTTGGGGACTCATAGCCTTTCACCTGACGCACAGTGTAGTCTGCAGCCTGCCAGCTCCTTCAAAAGGTCTGTGGATTCCTTCAGTTTTACTGTTTAGTTCCCATGTCACTTCTTGGAAATAAAGAACATTTACAGTGTGAATCTCTACACACTATTTTGTTCTTCTAAGTGAGACAAGTAAGCTAGCAATGCCTCTAATCTGCCATCTTCAAAAAAACTTTTATACCTTAAATGGATGCATTTTTTATCACTCATACTGCCATAAAAAAGTGGGCAACTGTTCATGACTTTAGATTTAGAGATGAATTCTTAGCTATGACAGCAAAAGCACAAAAAAAGCAAAAGAAAAATAGATCAATTGGATCTTTACAAAATTAAAAAATATATACACATAAAAGAACACTATTACAAAGTGAAAAGACAATCCACAGAATGAGAAAAATTATTTGCAAACCATATTTCTGATAAAGGTGTAGTACCCAAAATATTTAAACAATGTTTACAATTCAATAACAAGAAGACAAAGAAACCCAATGATACAAATAAGCAAATGACTTAAACATATATTTCTCTAAAGAAGATATACAAAGAACCAATAAACACATGAAATGATGCTCAACATTATTAGCCATCAGGAAAATGCAAATCAAAACCACATTGTGATACTACTTCACATCCACCAAATATGAAGTGTTGGTGAGAATGTAGAATAATTAGAACCCTCATACATTGCTACTCAAAATCTAAAATATCATAGTTGCTATGGAAAGCATTGTGGCATTTCCTCAAACTGTTAAACACAGAACTACCATGTGACTCAGCAATTCTGCTTGTAGATATATTTCCAAAAGAATTGATAATAGGTATTCAATCAAGAACTTGTACAGAAATTGTACTGTAGTGTTGTGTTTTATAGCAGCACTATTCACAATAGTCCAAAGTTGAAAACAAACCAAATACGTCCACCAATGATAAATGGATGATAATCCAAATGTGGTATATCCATATAATAAAATATGATTCAGCCAAAAAAGGAATGACATACTGATACATGCCATAACAAAAATGAACTTGGAAAAATGATGTTAAATAAAAGAAATCATACAAAAAAGGTCACATATTGTATGATTACATTTATATTAAATATTCAGAATAGGTAAATCCATAGAGACAGAAGGAAAAAGTCATCAGAAGTGGTTAGGAGGATAGCACGAATGGGGAGTGATTGGTTAATGTGAATGGAATTTCCTTTTAGGGTGATAAAGATGTTTTAGAACTAGATAGAGGTGATAGTTGCACACTGTTACAAATGTACTAAATTGTACACATTGAAGTGGTTAATTTTATGTTATGTGAGTTTCACTTTAAAAGAGAAAGAAACAAAGGTCATTTAAATTGTAAAGAAGGACGTAAAATTGTCCCTGTTTGCAGACATGATGTTTTAAATAGAAAAGCATAAAGATTTCACCAAAAAAACGTTTAGAACTTATAAACAAATTTAGTAATAAGGTTGCAGGATACAAAATCAATCTACAAATTCAGCAGCATTTCTACACATACACAAAAAAGTAGCTGAAAAGTAAATCAAGAAAGAAATTCCATTTACAAATAGCTACCAAAAAATAAAATACCTAAGTATAAATTTAACCAAGGAGGTGAAAGATCTCTATAAGAAAAACTATAAAACACTGATGAAAAAAATTAAAGAGGATATAAACAAATGGAAAGACATCCCATGTTCATGGATCACAAGAATTATATTTTTAAAATGACCATACTACTCAAAGAAATCTGGATTCAAGGTAATCTCTATCAAAATACTAATGACATTCTTCACAGAAATAGGAAAAAAAATCCTAAAAATTTTTGTGGAACCACAAAAGACCCAGAATAGCCAAAGCCATCCTGAGCAAAAAGAACAAGCTGGAGCTATCACACTACCATGTTTCAAAATGTACTGCAAAGCTACAGTAACAAGCACAGCATGGTACTGGTATAAAAATAGACACACAGACCAATGAAAGAGAGGAAATAACCCAGAAATTAATATAAGAATCTACAGCCAACTTGTGTTTTACAAAAGTGCCAAGAACATTCATTGGGGAAAGAATAGTCTCTTCAATAAATGGTGCTTTCAAACTAGGTATCCATGTGTAGAAATATAAGACTAGACCCACACCTCTCATCCTATAGAAAAATCAACTCAAAATGAATCAAAGACATAAATGTAAGACCCAAGACTACAAAACTACTAGAAGAAAACCCAGGGGAAACAGTCTAGGATATTGGTCTGGAAAAATACTTTTTGAATAAGACCACGAAAGCACAGACAACCAAAGTAAAAATAAACAAATGGGATTATATCAAACTGCAAAGCTCCTTCATAGCAAAAGAAACAATCAACAGAGTGAAAATACAACCTACAGAATGGGAGAAAACATTTGCAAACTACTCATCTGGCAGGGGATCAATACCCAGAATATAAAAGACATTCAAATATCTCAACAGCAAAAAAAAAAAAAAAAAAAAAATCTGATTTTAAAATGAGAAAATTATCTGAACATACATTTCTCAAAAGAAGACATACAAGTGGCCTAGAAATATATTTTAAAAATTGATGATCGTTATTACTAATGATGACTAACAGTGATGATAATAATATCACTAATCATTACAGAAATGCAAATCAAATCCACAATGAGGTACTGTTACATCCCAGTTAGAATCACTATTATCAAAAACACAAAAAATAACAAGTGCTGCCAAAGATGCAGAGAAAAAAAACATTTGATTGACTCTTGGTGGGAATGTAAGCTAGTACAGCCACTATGGAGAACAATATGAAGCTTCCTCACAAAACTACACATAGAACTACCATATGATTCAGCAATCCCACTACAGAATATTTATCCAAAAGAAAGGAAATGGAGATATTGAGGAGATATCTGCTGCCCTACCCTTGTTTATTGCAGCACTATTTACAATAGACAAGACATGGAATCTAACTAGATGTCCAACAACAGATGAATGGATAAAGAAAATCTGTTTATATACAGTGGAATAATATTTTGCCATAAAAAGAATGAAATCCTGTCATTCATGCAACATGAATGGAATTAGAGGGCATTATGTTAAGTAAAATAAGCCAGGAAAAGAAAATTAAGCACTGCATGTTTTCACACATATGTGAAAGCTTAAAAAAAAAAAAAAACAGGTTGATCTCAGAGAAGTTAAAAAGTAGATCAAAGGATGCTAGGGGTTAGGAAGAGTAGGGGGAAGGAATGCATAGGGAGAGGTTTTATTAGGAGAAATAAGTTATTGTAATCTATACCACCATAGGATGGCTACAGTTAACAGTTTTATATATATATGATAAATATTTAAGATGATGGATACACTAATTATTCTTTTCTCATCACCATACATTATATGTATTGAAACATCATTATGTGTCCTGTGAATATGTGCAATTGTTATATGTCAACTAAAAATAAAATAAAATAATTTTTTCAATGTTTTAAGTCAGCAGATAAACAAAGTATAAGAGAAACCCAGTCATCCCAAGGATCTCCCTTGAAACCCAAATGTTTCAAGACTATGATTTGGAAACAGTGGGAGGCAGGAGAAAGACCCTTGGGATGAGTTTATAAATCAAAATTTACACTCCATTATTAATTAGTTGCATGAGCTGAGGCAAGTTATGTAACATCTTTGAGGGTCAGTTTTTGCATTTTCAAAATGGGGAATATCAAATTTGCTGTCCTTACCAGAAAAAGTTTCAGGAAAGTAACACACAATAAGTGTTCTATAAAAGCAGCATATGCATTAATGTCCCCAAAAACCAACTCCATGGACTTGTTGTGAGAGAAAAATGAGTCAATGAGTGAAAAATTACTTGATGTCAAAGGGCTAGCTGAATAGTCAAATATATACCTGCTCCTTTCATTCTCTCAGAAAGCAACCATTGAGCACTTACTATATGCCAAACAGTGTGCTAGGATAGAGATAAGTTACACACTGTCTCTTCAAGAGCAGTATAATCTAGTGGGCAACACAGGTGAAGAGATAATTATAATAGGGTGTGATAATGAGATATGATATGGAATGTGATGGGATGCTATGAGATCACAGAAGGGTACCACCTCACTCAGTCTGGAAAGACTTCTGGGGTTAAGTAATAAAAGGTTAGCCAGACAAAATAATAAGTAGGGAAGACCCAATTCAAGAAGGCAACACAAACAGTTACACAAACAAAACAGTGTCTGTGGGGTACTTCAAAGAGATCAGTGTTGCTAGAGCATAAAGAGCAATCCAAGGGGTGGCAAAAAACAAGGCTTCTGAAATAAGTAGGGACAGAATCATATAAGGCCTTGTGGGCCCTGAAAGGAATTTGAGATTTATTTTAAAGGCAATGGGCAGGTGTATTAGTCTGTTTTCACACTGCTATAAAGAACTACCTAAGACTGGGTAATTTATAAAGAAAAGAGGTTTGACTTACAGTTCTGTAAGGCTGGGGAGGCCTCAGGAAATTTACAAACATGGCAGAAGGGGAAGCAAGGCACGTCTTACATGGAAGCAGGAGAGAGAGAGCAAGGGGAGAAGTGCCAAACTTTTAAACCATCAGATCTCATGAGAACTCACTCGCTATCATGAGAACAGCATGGGGGAAATCCACCCTCATGATCCAATCTCCTTCCACCAAGTCCCTCCCCTGACACATGAGGATTACAATTCAACAATTGTGGGTTGGGGACACAGAGCCAAATCATATCAGTAGCCATTGTAGGGCCTTAAGCACCTCGAGTACCATAATCAGATTTATATTTTAAAATTATTTTGGCAGTGTGGAGGATGAAGTGGAAGGGGCCCAGATTGGAGACAGGGACATCAGGAAGCAGTTGTTTGGATATGAAGTAATGAGGGCTTGAATTAAGGCAGTAGAAACAAAATTAAGTGGACAGATTTGAAATATATTTAGGAGATAAAAATCAGTAGGACTTGATGATGGATTTGGGTCTAACAGGAAAGGAAAGAAGGTGATTCAAGGATGACTCCATAGTTTCTAGGTTAGGTCGCTGGTAAGTAGTGGTGCCACCAAGTAAAACTGAAACTCAGGAGTAGAATGATGTTGAAGGGGTAATATGGTAAGTTCCACCTTGGTCATGTTAGGTTCATGGTACCTGTGATACATCTGAGTGGCAGACAACTTGATATTAATTTGTAACTTGGGCATGAGGATGGGATATAGAATCAAGGGTCATCAGAGTACAAATGGTAGCTGAAAGAGAGTTGGTGCCTCAAAAGGATATATTACATATTCTTTGGTAATCTGCCAGCTTCAAAATTAAGAATCCTTCATGGTTATTCTTTTATTGTCTTTCATTTAGATTAAATCTTCTGTGAAAGTGAAAGTGATAAGTTTTCAGGAAACAACTGAATAGAGTAAAAAAGACAGCATAACAGATAATAAATAGAAGACTGTTCTAGATAGGAAGGGAATATAGGCAAGAAAAAATAAGTTTAAGATCTTCTGGTAAAGCAGATTGCAAAGTCAGTCAGCTATTGAAATAGATATACAAAGCTCCAACTAAGCCATCTACATCTTGGTGTTTGTCAAGATACCACTGTTGCTACCAGTGTCTTGGCATTGCAAGTTGGCACCAGATGGTGGTACCTAGAGGCTCATGACTGGGACTACCAGTGCAGTGGCCTGGGAACTATGTTTGGAAATCCCTGTGCATGACTTCTCTGCTCTGCCTCCAAATGGAGGAAATTCACTTGGCTGATTTTCAGAAACTCTCTAGGAGGAATGTGAAGCAGGTTTCTAATCTTGCTCTGCTTAGACATAAATTAAGATCTTGTTTGTTCAGAATGACTACTACCCAATCCTGCCAGAAACTCCACTGTGCTCTCTGGGGTGCAAAACCTCTATTTATTAGGTTATATTTTTGGCCAGGAGTTCACACTGTGCTTTGTTCTCATTGCTCTGCCACTCCCATGGACTGGCTGCCGAGCAAACCAGACACTGACCCCTGATTCACTCTTCCATCAATTCTATTCATATCTCTTCATTGTCTTTGCAAGATGTGACCAAGCACCTCAAAGCAAATGCTGAGAGCCTTTTGTATTACTCCAGAGTGACAAGCTCCTCCCAGGCCCTGGAGACACAGAGGCAATCCAGCTGCAATGCTTATCCTCCTGGCCCCACCCAACAATGGTACTACAGTTGAAGATACAGAGCTCTGAAATTCTAGCTCTCTTAGAATTCTTTAAGTATCAGCAAGGCTGGCCCGGTTTAAAAGAAGTGCATGCAACTGCCTACCAGGAATTTTGAGCAGAACCAAAAGGCCTCTCTATCCTAAAACATATTCACTCACTCATCTACACTCCTTTTGGTTAAGGAAAATGTGCCTGCAAAAATGCCCCAGAGGCAAATTTATATATGGGAAAGGGCCTACAAGTAGGCATTAAGTTACCTAGCTTCTAGCCCCAACTAATATGCATGATATTGGGAAAGTCCCTTCCCATTTCTGGGTTTCAGTTTCCTCAATATACTATAGAAGGAGGGAAATAGATAAGTTCATCTCAAAGGCCCCTTATGACTAAAACATTCTACATTATTATGACCCAAGTACAAGCTCAAATGTTACTTTGCAGGACTACAAGTATTCATTTATTCATTTGTTAGAATTGACCAGACATGTCCCTGGAAAAGTAGAAATCCAGAGACATGGATTGATTACAAAGATATCCCAGAGGCATAGAAACTCTTCATGGAAACAAATCCTCACAGGACAATCAGAGATTAGAGAGCTACTGTTCTCCTTTCTGCCATGACTGTCTTATCTCCACCCCAAAACTGACCATGTCAGCTGGAGAAGGTAAAAGCTAGCTAGAAGGTAGAGAAGCACATATGGGAAGATGAACAGACCTTCCAAGTTGGAGAAACAAGACCAAATCCTAGAATAGCTGTTTTCTAAAGAGGTCCAGTTTGAGGACTCATATACAGTAGCCCCAGAGTACCATACCATGGGTGAGCAGAAGCTGACCTTCTCCAAAGGTAGTTGAGGTATGTGTCAGGAGGTCTAGGAAGTCAACCATTAGGCAGTCTTTTTTCTCAGAGAGAAGGTAAAGGCTATATCCTGAAATCCCAGATACTGTAACCTGGTTTCCTCAGGATAACCCAGGGAAGGGTCCTATAAAAAATAATATTACCTAATATTTATTAGCACTTAATATGTGTCAGGTAATATTCTAAGGGCTTCAGGTAAATTGAAACAATTAATCTTTATTAAAATCCTATAAGGCAAGTACTGTTACTATTCCCATTTTACAGTTGAAGGTAGTGAAGCATAGAGTGGTTAGTTTGTTTAAGGTCACTCAGTCAGGAAAGGGTAAGTCCAAGACATAAACCCAGGCAGCCTGGCTCCAGACTTCATGATCTTAACCCAACTAAAGGAGGGTAAGTATCCTCCCAAGTGTTACAAATTAGAGCTGGGAAGATCCTTAGGGACCATCAAGGGCCATCTCTTCATTTTATACATGAGGGAACTGAAACTCTGAGAGAGAAAATAATCTGCCAAAGGCTATACAGCAAACAAGTAAGAGCATAATAGAGCCAGAACCAGAGCCTCAGTCTGCTGACTCCCAATCCAGTGCTCTTTCCACTATTGCTTCTGATCGTTTGTTGAGTCTCTTCCTTAAATTGCCTTCCCATCACCTCACTCTGCTGACTTTGCCAGTTTGATCACTCCCAAACTCCGTCCAACAAGATTGCAGAAGAGCAGCCATCTGAGGTACAGGTCATTATCCTCACTTTCCAAAATATAAATGAGTCTAGAACTGGCTACAATCAAGCATTTTCCAAATGATTAGATCCCTAAATCCCAATATCACCTCTGTGAGGGTTACTGATAGAATGCAAAACCAATATTTTCCATCCATAAACACATCAACACTCAACCATGCCAAGGCCTCGACCTTCTGAGATGAGTGTTCAATGATGTATGAGGTCCGCCTCCTGCTCAGACAGATCTGTGGACTCAAATCTGAACTTTTTAAGGGTCATTTGGGGAAACCAATACCGAGCCCACATGGAAAAATTCTGCCTGATTCATTGAGAAATGATGAGTAGAGCCTATGAAAGTGGAAACTAGGGCTGGACAGTGGGCTCTGGAGGGAGTGAACCTAGCCTGGTTTATAATGCCACCAATGTGTGCTGGCCAGTGGCAAGGAAACAGACATCCCAGGTCCTACAAAGGCCCAGGCTACTTTTCTGTCGGTATTTATGGCTCACTGCCTCAAGATGTTGGATTTCACAAAGCCATCCTCCTGACTCCACATCCTACTCCACCCTTCCAGAGGGTGTGGGAAACAAAAGGCTCAAGTATAGATGGGAAGTTTTAATGGCCTCTTGTGGGGCTGAGCCTTTAACCCACATGAGGAACCCTGGCCATTTTCCCAATTCCTTTATGGGCCTCTGAGCTGGGCACACACCCCTGAGCATAGTGAGGCAGGGCAGACCTATCTCTCCCTGAGGATGGGAGCTGTGAATCCAAGGACCTTAGGCAGGAGGTTGGAAAAAGAGAAAAATCTTTCCTAGGCAATATAAAGAGAGTGGTCTCAAAAGGCTAGCTGATGTCTCAGGGCAGTATCAGCCACGCTTTCTATCTTGTTTGGACTTTCTACAGCATAGGCTTGGCACAAAACCTTTTTACAATGAAAGAGGAGCAAATGGTTGATTCTGAAGCCACTGTGTGGTAAAATACAAATAATAGTCACCACATTCACTCACTTCTTTATTTATCCACACAACAGTTATTGTGTACCTACTATGTGCAAAATTTCATAGAGAGTAGAAATATACAAAGCAGGAGGTTCATTTTGCAAAAACTCACATCCATAAAAGGACATGACGTTTACACATAACCAATGTCACTCAGCTGTAGATGGAAAAGGTCTTTAAATTATATAAATGAGAGAATCACAGTGTCCCAATCTGAAGGAACTTAAGAAAGAACCATCTCATCCAACCTCTTCATTGTACAAGTAAAGACACAAACCTAGAGAGAGATAAAGCATTCTCAATAGTTACACAGCCATGTAATAACAAAGCTGACCTTTCTACTAATCACTAAAGGGCTTAAAAATTAGTGGTTTGATATGAAATGTCAAGAAAAAACTTCATAGGGTGTTGTGTGAGTATTTAAAGAACAGGTAAGACATTACCCAAAAGTATATTATGAAAAATGTCAAACATACAGCCAGAGACAGCTACATAATTTGTGGGGCCTAGTGCAAAATGAAAATGTGGGACCTCTCTTTGAAAAAGCAGGGAGAAAGTACTGTTAACGTAAAAAGTGTTTTCATTCGTTGGTGCATTCACATGCTCTGTCTCTCTTACATATATATCTTTCTCTTTCTCTCTCTCACCATGGTATCTTCTACTTGCTATTTAATGTTGTTCTATATAAGGAATAATTAAAAATTGAAATTATTAGTATGAACTTTACTGTTCATTTTTATATTATGCAATGTTGGATTTAACTGCAAATATAAGAACATTTAGGCCAGGCACAGTGGCTTATACCTGTAATCTCAACACTTTGAGAGACCAAGGCAGGAGGATCACTTGAGCCCAGGGGTTTGAGACCAGACTGGGCAACATTAAAAGACCCTGTCTCTACAAAATATATATAAATAAAAATCAGCCAAGTGTGGTGGTGCACACCTCTGGACCCAGCTACTCAGGAGGCTTAGGTAGAAGAATCACTTTTGCCTCAGAGGTCAAGGCTGCAGTGAGCCATGATTGCACCACTGCACTCCAGCCTGGGAGATAGAGCAAGATCCTATCTCAAAAAGGATTTAACTCATATTCACAGTCACCAAAATTACACAATTTGTATTTCATAGCTTATACATGCATATGTATTTTCTGCTTACCAGAAGAATGGAAATGCTGCACAAAGCTAATTCAAGTATTTTCTATTTCACTTTTTGATATGTCCACATTCTACCAACAGTCTCTACTTTCAGTTCACTGATGAAAGGACTGAAAGGAGTAACTACTACGGGTGGCCCTATCTTTCCCTTTCCTTTTAAATCATCATATTTAGCAATAGTAGTTGGCTAATATAGGGAAGTAGCATGAGTAAAATAGAATACGATAGAGTTCCTTGGTCATTCGTGTTTCTTAGAACATAATTGCTTTTTTTGCATTCAAAGGAAGTTCTGATTTAAAAGGAAAGTATAGCCTCTTAAGGTTGTCAGTACTCCCACTTGGTTTTACACATAAATCACTTACCTTGCACTCAGTTTGAGCCTTGCTGAACTCCCACACATTGTAGGTGTACTGGAATTCCTCACTCATGGAGCATTACAAACACTATATATACCTGGGGTGGCAAGGAATAGTAGATACATATTATGTGTATCTACTCTGCTTATGTGCATACTCCATTGTCCTATTGGATTTTTAACACAAGTTCAAAGATGAAATTATTAAGAACTTCGAAAACATGACAACAGAGCATTAAACCAAGCACAATGCCCTTCTGTGCATGGGGCCCTGCATGACTCCACAGGTCACAAACCCTTGAAGATTATCCTGCATATAGCAAAATATAAAGAATTATATAGTGAACACCAGTATACCCACCACCTAGATAATTTTTTTATCTTTCTGAGACGGAGTCTCACTGTGTCACCCAGGCTGGAGTGCAGTGGCATGATCTTGGCTTACTGCAACCTCTGCCTCCTGGGTTCAAGCAAGTCTCCCTGCCTCAGCCTCCTGAGCAGCTGGGATTACAGGTGCCTGCCACCATGCCCAGCTAATTTTTGTATTTTTTACTAGAGACGGGGTTTTGCCATGTTGGCCAGGCTGGTCTGGAGCTCCTGCCCTCAGGTGATCTGCCCACCTCTAACTACAAAAGTGCTGGGATTACAGATATAAGCTACTGTGCCCGGCCTACCCACCATCTAGATTCTACTACATTTGCTTCATCATATATCTATCCATTTCTCTATCCATTCTTTAAGCTATTTTATTTTCTGTTGCACTTCAAAGAAAGTAACAGACATTAGTACACTTCACCAACAAACACTTCTCCATGCATATCATTAACTAAAATTTAATGTACATGTACAGTTTTTTTTAGGTAAATGTACATACATTTATATCACAAACATTAAGGGAACATTTGCTAAACTCTGACAAATGCATTTACCTATGTAGCCCAAACACCTATCAAAACATAGAATCTTATCATCATCACAGAAATCTCCCCTTTCCAGTCAGTCCTGACTGGTCCATCACCCTCAGAGGCAACCACAAAAACAGATAGCAATTTGATCAGTGAAGATTATGACAGAGTCAAAGGGAAAGAAAAAAAACGGCTTTTGAGGCTAGCAGATGGAAAAGCTTGTTGGAAGTAAACATTTTGTACAATAATGTTAGGAGGTAACATTTGTTGAACAGTGTTTCTCAGGCACTGATATGATTTGGATCTGCATCCCTACCAAATCTCATGTCAAGTTGTAATCCCCAATATTGGAGGTGGGGACTGGGGATTGGATCATTGGGGATGGTTTCTCATGAATGGTTTAGCACTATCTCCCTTGGTACAGTCCTGGTGATATCTGGTCATTTAAAAGTGTGTAACACCTCCCCCCTCCATCTTATTCGTTCCTAGTCCAGTCATGTGACATGCATTCACACCCTTTACCTTCCACCATAATAGTAAATTTCTGATGCCTCCCCAGAAGCCAAGCAGATGCTAGCATCATGCTTCCTGTACAGTCTGCAGAACCATGAACCAATTAAACCTCTTTTCTCTATAAATTACCCAGTCTCACGTATTTCTTTATAGCAGTGTAACAACAGACTAATACAGAAAATTGGTATGAAGGAGTAGGACATTGCTATAAAGATACCTGAAAATGTGGAAGCAACTTTGGAACTAGGTAACAAGCAGAGTTTGGAAGAGAATAGAGGGCTCAGAAGAAAACAGAAAGATGAGGAAAAGTTTGGAACTTCCTACAGACTAGTTGAATAGTTGTTACCAAAATGCTGATAGTGATATGGACAGAGAAGGCCAGGCTAAAAATAAAAAGGACTCAGATGAACATGAGGAATGTATTATGATCTGGAGCAAGGGTCACTTTTGTTATGTCTTAGCAAATTACTTGACTGAATTGTGCCTCTGCCCTAGGGATCTGTAGAACTTAGAACTTGAGAGTGATGATTTAGGGTATCTGGAGGACGAAATTTCTAAGCAACAAAAAATTCAAGAAGTGGCCTGGCTGCTTCTCACAGCCTATCTCATATGTATGAGCAAAGAAATGACCTAAAGTCAAATATACAGTTAAAGGGGAAGTAGAGCATAAAAACTTGGAAAATTTGCAGCCTAGCCATGTAGTAGAAAATAAAAGCCCATTTTCAGGGGAGGAATTCAAGCAGGCTCCAGAAATTTGTATAAGTAAATAAGAGCCACGTGCCAATAGACAATACAATGGGGAAAAGGCCTCAAAGGCATTTAAGAGACCATTGTGGCAGTCCTTCCCATCACAGGCCCAGAGGCCTAGGACAATTGAATGGTTTCTTAGGCCAGGCCGAGAGCCTGTCTCAAGACACTGCTCCCTGTATCCCAGCTGCTCCAACTCTAGTTGTGGCTCAAAGGGAGCCAGATACAGCTCATGCCACTGCTCCAGAGGGTGCAAGTTATAAGCCTTGGTAGTTTTCACGTGGTGTTAATCCTGCAGGTACATGGAATGCAAGAGTGGAGGCTTGGAATCCTCCACCTAGGTTTCAGAGGATGTATGAAAAATCCCTATTGTCCAGGCAGAAGGCTGCTACAGGGGCAGAGCCATTATGCAGAACCTCTACTAGGGAAGTGCAGAGGGGTTGAAGCCCCCACACAGAGTTCCCACTGGGACACTGCATAGTGAAGCTATGAGAAGAGGGCCGCCATCCTCCAGACTCCAAAACAGTAGATCCACTGACAACTTCCACTCTGCTCCTGGAAAAGCCACAGGCACTCAATTCCAGCTCATGAGAGTAATGGTGGGGGTTGAATCCTGCAAAGCCTCAAGATCTTGGGAGCCCACCCCTGCCAACAGTGTGCTCTGGATGTGTGACAAGGTGTCAAAGGATATTGTTTTGGAGTGTTAAGATTTAATGACTGCCCTGTTGGGTTTCAGCCTTGCATAGGGCCTGTAGCCTCATTCTTTTGGTGGATTTCTCCATTTTGGAATGGAAGTATTTACCCAATACCTGTAACCCCATTGTATCTTGGAAGTAACTAACTGTTTTTTTTTGCTTGTTTTGTTTTGTTTTTCATGCTCATAGTTGGAAGGGACTAGCTTTGTCTCAGATGAGACTTTGGACTTTGAACTTTTGAGTTAATGCTGAAATAAGTTAAGATTTTGGGGGACTGTTGAGAAGGGATAATTGTATTTTGCAATATGAGAAGGACACAAGATTTGAGTGGGGCAGTGGTGAAATAATATAGTTTGAATCTGTGTCCTCAGCAAATTTCATGTCAAGTTGTAGGCTCCAATATCAGAGATGAAACCTGGTGGGACATAATTGGATCACAGGGGTGAGTTTCTCATGAATGGTTTAGCATCATCTCTCAGTACTGTACTCACAACAGTGAGTGAGTTTTTGTGAGATCTGATTATTTAAAAGTGTGTAGCACTTCCACCCTCTCTCTTTCTTGCTCCTACTCTGGCTATGTGATGTGTGTGCTTCCCTATTACCCTCTGCCATGATTGTAACTGACCCAGAAGCTGAGCAGATGCCAGTATCAGGTTCCTGTACAGTCTGAGTAACCATGAGCCAATTATACCTCTTCTCTTTATAAACTATCCAATTTTAGGTATTGATAGCAGTGTAAGAATGGACTAATACAGGCACCGTGCTGCTCAAAAAAATTAACTCAATTTTTTATCTTTATTACAACACTATTAAATAGACACTATTAGTATCACATTTGACAAATGAGAAACTGAGTCACCACAAGGCAGTACCAGGATTTGAATGCAGGTCGTATGGAAAATGAGAAAGAAACGTGAGCCCTGATCAGTGAGGATCATGAATAACAGAGTAAGGAATTTTGACTCTATCCTTAAGGTCATGGGAAATAGTCAAAGATTTTTCAAATATAGAACACTGTAAAAAAGCAGTATTCTTAAGCCAAAAAAATGAACTTCATTCTAAACTTCATACCTTATACAAAAAATAAACTCAAACTGGATCACACACTTAAATGTAAAATATGGAACTATAAAACGTTTAGGAGATAACACTAGAGAAAGTATTCAGGACCTAGAGCTTTACAAAGTGTTCTTGGACATGACATCAGAAGCATAAGTCATTAAATAAACTGATAAACTATCTCATCAAAATTTAAAACTTCTGTGAATGATCCTATTAAGAAAATGAGAAGAAAAACGATACACTGGAGAAAATATTTGCAAATCACGGATCTGGCAAAGCACTTGAATATGTAAAGAACATTCAAAACTCAACAGTAAAAAGTAATAATAATTCTTTTTTTTCAATATTAACCTTAAATGTAAATGGGCTAAATGCTCCAATTAAAAGACACAGAATGGCAAATTGGATAAAGAGTCAAGACCCATCAGTGAGCTGTATCCAGGAAACCCATCTCATGTGCAGGTACACATGTAGGATCAAAATAAAGGGATAGAGGAAGATCTATCAAGCAAATGGAAAACAAAAAAAGACAGGGGTTGCAATCCTAGTCTCTGATAAAACAGACTTTAAACCAACAAAGATCAAAAGAGACAAAGAAGGTCATTACATAATGGTAAAGGGATCAATTCAACAAGAAGAGCTAACTGTCCTAAATATATATGCACCCAATACAGGAGCACCCAGATTCATAAAGCAAGTCCTTAGAGACCTACAAAGAGACTTAGACTCCCACACAATAATAATGGGAGACTTTAACATCACACTATCAACATTAGACAGATCTACAAGACAGACAGTTAACAAGGATATCTAGGAATTGAACTCAGCTCTGCACCAAGCAGACCTCATAGACATCTACAGAACTCTCCACCCCAAATCAACAGAATATAAATTCTTTTCAGCACCACACCACACTTATTCCAAAATTGACCACATAGTGGGAAGTAAAGCACTCCTCAGCAAATGTAAAAGAACAGAAATTATAACAAACTGTCTCTCAGACCACAATGCAATCAAACTAGAACTCAGGATTAAGAAACTCACTCAAAATCACTCAAATGGGGTGGAGCCAACATGGCCAAATAGGAACAGCTCAAGTCTACAGCTCCCAGTGTGAGTGACACAGAAGATGGGTGATTTCTGCATTTTCAACTGAGGTACTGGGTTCATCTCACTGGGGAGTGCTGCACAGTGGGTGCAGGACAGTGGATGCAGTGCACTGTGCATGAGCCAAAGGAGGGTGAAACATTGCCTCACCCAGGAAGCACAAAGGGTCAGGGAATTCCCTTTCCTAGTCAAAGAAAGGGGTGACAGATGGCACCTAGAAAATCGGGTCACTCCCACCCTAATACTGTGCTCTTCCAAAGGGCTTAACAAACGGCACACCAGGAGATTATATCCTGCACATGGCTCGGAGGGTACTATGCCCACGGAGCCTTGCTCATTGCTAGCACAGCAGTCTGAGATTAAACTGCAAGGTGGTAGCGAGGGTGGGGGAGGGGTGCCCACCATTGCTCAGGCTTTAGTAGGTAAACAAAGCTGCTGGGAAACTCGAACTGGGTGGAGCCCACCACAGCTCAAGGAGGCCTGCCTGCCTCTGTAGGCTCCACCTCTGGGAGCAGGGCACAGACAAACAAAAGACAACAAAAACCTCTGCAGACTTAAAAGTCCCTGTCTGACAGATTTGAAGACAGTAGTGGTTCTCCCAGCATGCAGCTTGAGATCTGAGAATGGGCAGACTGCCTCCTCAAGGGGGTCCCTGGCTCCCAAGTACCCTAACTGGGAGGCACCCCCAAGTAGGGGCGGACTGACACCTCACACGGCCAGGTACTCCTCTGAGACAAAACTTCCAGAGGAAGAATCAGGCAGCAGCATTTGCGGTTCACCAATACCCGTTGTTCTGCAGCCACTGCTGCTGATTCCCAGACAAACAGGGTCTCTAGTGGACCTCCAGCAAACTCCAACAAACCTGCAGCTGAGGATGCAGACTGTTAGAAGGAAAATTGACAACCAGAAAGGACATCAAAACAAAACACCCATCTGTACATCACCAAAATCAAAGACCAAAGGTAGATAAAACCATAAAGATGGGGAAAAAACAGAGCAGAAAAACCAGAAACTCTAAAAATCAGAGCACCTCTCCTCTTTCAAAGGAACGCAGCTCCTCACCAGCAATGGAACAAAGCTGGATGGAGAATGACTTTGACGAGTTGAGAGAGGAAGGCTTCAGAAGATCAAACTACTCCCAGCTAAAGGAGGAAGTTTGAACAAATGGCAAAGAAGTTAAAAACTTTGAAAAAAATTTAGACGAATGGATAACTAGAATAACCAATGCAGAGAAGTCCTTAAAGGACCTGATGGAGCTGAAAACCACAGCATAAGAACTACGTGACAAATGCACAAGCCTCAGTAACCGATGCGATCAACTGGAAGAAAGGGTATCAGTGATGCAAGACAAAATGAATGAAATGAAGCGTGAAGACAAGTTTAGAGAAAAAAGAATAAAAAGAAATGAACAAAGCCTCCAAGAAATATGGGACTATGTGAAAAGACCAAATCTACATCTCATTGCTGTACTGGAAAGTGACAGGGAGAATGGAACCAAGTTGGAAAACACTCTGCAGGATATTATCCAGGACAACTTCCCCAATCTAGTAAGGGAGGCCAACATTTAGATTCAGGAAATACAGAGAATGCCACAAAGATGCTCTTCGAGAAGAGCAACTCCAAGACACATAATTGTCAGATTCATCAAAGTTGAAATGAAGGAAAAAATGTTAAGGGCAGCCAGAGAGAAAGGTCGGGTTACCCACAAAGAGAAACCCATCAGAGTACCAGCAGACCTCTCGGCAGAAGCTCTACAAGCCAGAAGAGAGTGGTGGCCAATATTCAACATTTTTAAGAAAAGAATTTTCAACCCAGAATTTCATATCCAGCCAAACTAAGCTTCATAAGTGAAGGAGAAATAAAATCCTTTACAGACAACCAAATGCTGAGAGATTTTGTCACCACCAGGCCTGCCCTAAAAGACCTCCTGAAGGAAGCACTAAACATGGAAAGGAAAAACCGGTACCAGCCACTGCAAAAACATACCAAATTGTAAAGATGATCAAGGCTAGGAAGAAATTGCATCAACTAACGAGCAAAATCACCAGCTAACATCATAATGACAGGATCAAATTCACACATAACAATATTAAACTTAAATGTAAATGGGCTAAATGCTCCAATTAAAAGACACAGAATGGTAAATTGGATAAAGAGTCAAGACCCATCAGTGTGCTGTATTCAGGAAACCCATCTCACGTGCAGAGACACACATAGGCTCAAAATAAAGGGATGGAGGAAGATCTACCAAGCAAATGGAAAACAAAAAGAGGCAGGGGTTGAAATCCTAGTCTCAGATAAAACAGACTTTAAACCAACAAAGATCAAAAGAGACAAAGAAAGCCATTACATAATGGTAAAGGGATCATTTCAACAAGAAGAACTAAATAACCTAAATATACATGCACCCTATACGGGAGCACCCAGATTCATAAAGCAAGTCCTTAGTGACCTACAAAGAGACTTAGACTCCCACACAATAATAATGGGAGAATTTAACACACCACTGTCAACATTAGACAGATCAATGAGACAGAAAGTTAACAAGGATATCCAGGAATCGAACTCAGCTCTGCACCAAGTGGACCTAATAGACATCTACAGAACTCTCCACCCCAAATCAACAGAATATGCATTCTTTTCAGCACCACACCACACCTATTCCAAAATTGACCATAGTTGGAAGCAAAGAATTCCTCAGCAAATGTAAAAGAACAGAAATTATAACAAACTGTCTCTCAGACCACAGTGCAGTCAAACTAGAACTCAGGATTAAGAAACTCACTCAAAACCGCTCAACTACATGGAAACTGAACAATCTGCTCCTGAATGACTACTGGATACATAAAGAAATGAGGGCAGAAATAAAGATGTTCTTTGAAACAAACGAGAACAAATACACAACATACCAGAATCTCTGAGACATATTCAAAGCAGTGTGTAGATGGAAATTTCTAGCACTACATGCCCACAAAAGAAAACAGGAAAGATCTAAAATTGACACCCAGACATCACAATTAAAACAACTAGAGAAGCAAGAGCAAACACATTCAAAAGCTAGTAGAACACAAGAAATAATTAAGATCAGAGCAGAATTGAAGGAAATAGAGACACAAAAAACCCTTCAAAAAATTAATGAATCCTGGAGCTGCTTTTTCACAAACATCAACAAAACTGATAGACTGCTAGCAAGAATAATAAAGAAGAAAAGAGAGAATAATCAAATAGACACAATAAAAAATGACAAAGGGGATATCACCACCGATCCCACAGAAATACAAACTACCATCAGAGAACACTATAAATACCTCTATGCAAATAAACTAGAAAATCTAGAAGAAATGGATAAATTCCTCGACACATACACTCTTCCAAGACTAAACCAGGAAGAAGTTGGATATCTGAATAGACCAATAACAGGCTCTGAAATTGAGGCAATAATTAATAGCTAACCAACCAAAGAAAGTCCAGGACCAGATGGATAAACAGCAGAAATCTACAAGAGGTACAAGGAGAAGCTGGTAACATTCCTTCTGAAATTATTCCACTCAATAGAAAAAGAGGGAATCCTCCCTAACTCATTTTATAAGGCCAGCATCATCCTGATACCAAAGCCTGGCAGAGACACAACAAAAAAAGAGAATTTTAGACCAATATTCCAGATGAACATCAATGCAAAAATCCTCAATAAAATACTGGCAAACTGAATCCCGCTGCACATCAAAAAGCTTATCCACCATGATCAAGTGGGCTTCATCCCTGGGACGCAAGGCTGGTTCAAAATATGCAAATCAATAAACGTAATCCAGCATATAAACAGAACCAAAGACAAAAACCACATGATTATCTCAATAGATGCAGAAAAGGCCTTTGACAAAATTCAACACCCCTTCATGCTAAAAACTCTCAATAAATTAGGTATTGATGGGACGTATCTCCAAATAATAAGAGCTATCTATGACAAATCCACAGCCAATATCATACTGAATGGGCAAAAACTGGAAGCATTCCCCTTGAAAAATGGCGTAAGACAGGGAAGCCCTCTCTCACCACTCCTATTCAACATAGTGTTCGAAGTTCTGGCCAGGGCAATCAGGCAGAAGAAGGAAATAAAGGGTATTCAATTAGGAAAAGAGGAAGTCAAATTGTCCCTGTTTGCAGATGACGTGATTGTATATCTAGAAAACCCCATTGTCTCAGCCCAAAATCTCCTTAAGCTGAGAAGCAACTTCAGCAAAGTCTCAGGATACAAAATCAATGTGCAAAAATCACAAGCATTCTTATTCACCAATAACACACAAATAGAGTGCCAAATCATAAGTGAACTCCCATTCACAGTTGCTTCAAAGAGAATAAAATACCTAGGAATTCAACTTACAAGGGATGTGAAGGACCTCTTCAAGGAGAACTACAAACCACTGCTCAATGAAATCAAAGAAGATACAAACAAATGGAAGAACATTCCATGCTCCTGGGTAGGAAGAGTCAATATCGTGAAAATGGCCATACTGCCCAAGGTAATTTATAGATTCAATGCCATCCCCATCATGCTGCCAATGACTTTCTTCACAGAATTGGAAAAAACTACTTTAAAGTTCATATGGAACCAAAAAAGAGCCGGCATCGCCAAGGCAATCCTAAGCCAAAAGAACAAAGCTGGAGGCATCACACTACCTGACTTCAAACTATACTACAAGGCTACAGTAAGCAAAACAGCATGGTACTGGTACCAAAACAGATATAGACCAATGGAAGAGAACAGAGCACTCAGAAATAACACCACACATCTACAACCATCTGATCTTGACAAACCTGACAAAAACAAGAAATGGGGAAAGGATTCCCTATTTAATAAATGGTGCTGGGAAAACTGGCTAGCCATATGGAGACAGTTGAAATTGGATCCCTTCCTTACACCTTATACAAAAATTAATTCAAGATGGATTAAAGACTGAAATGTTAGACCTAAAACCATAAAATCCCCAGAAGAAAACCTAGGCAATACCATTCAGGACATAGGCATGGACAAGGACTTCATGTCTAAACCACCAAAAGCAATGGCAACAAAAGCCAAAATTGACAAATGGGATCTAATTAAACGAAAGAGCTTCTGCACAGCAAAAGAAACTACCATCAGAGTGAACAGGCAACCTACAGAATGGGAGAAAATTTTTGCAATCTACTCATCTGACCAAGGCGTAATATCCAGAATCTACAATGAACACCAACAACTTTACAAGAAAAAAACAAACAACCCCATCAAAAAGTGGGTGAAGGATATGAACAGACACTTCTCAAAAGAAGACATTTATGCAGCCAAAAGACACATGAAAAAATGCTCCTCATCACTGGCCATCAGAGAAATGTAAATCAAAACCACAATGAGATACCATCTCACACCAGTTAGAATGACGATCATTGAAGTCAGGAAACAACAGGTGCTGGAGAGGATGTGGAGAAATAGGAACACTTTTACACTGTTGGTGAGACTGTAAACTAGTTCAACCATTGTGGAAGTCAGTGTGGCGATTCCTCAGGGATCTAGAACTAGAAATACCATTTGACCCAGCCATCCCATTACTGGGTATATACCCAAAGGTTTATAAATCATGCTGCTATAAAGACACATGCACACGTATGTTTATTGCGGCACTATTCACAATAGCAAAGACTTGGAACCAACACAAATGTCCAACAATGATAGACTGGTTTAAGAAAATGTGGCACATATACACCATGGAATACTATACAACCACAAAAAATGATGAGTTCATGTCCTTTGTAGGGACATGGATGAAGCTGGAAACCATCATTCTCAGCAAACTATCGCAAGGACAAAAAACCAAACACCGCATGTTCTCACTCATAGGTGGGAATTGAACAATGAGAACACATGGACACAGGAAGGGGAACATCACACACAGGGACCTGTTGTGGGGTGGGGGGAGGGGGGAGGGATAGCATTAGGAGATATACTTAGTGTTAAATGACGAGTTAATGGGTGCAGCGCACCAACATGGCACATGTATACATATGTAACAAACCTGCATGTTGTGCACATGTACCCTAAAACTTAAAGTATAATAAAAAAAATGAACAAACTAATACATGCAACCACTTGGATGGATCCCAAAGGCATAATACTGAGTGAAAAAAAAAAAGGAAACCTCAAAACGTCATATACTGTAGGATTACTTTTGCATAACATTCTTTTTTAAAAAAATTATATTCAGGGGGTACATGTGCATGCTTGCTAAGGGTACATGGTGTGAAGCTGATGTTTGGGCTTCTAATGATCCCATCACTCATATAGTGAAAATAGTACCCGGTAGAAAGTGTTTTAGCCTCTCCCCTCCTCATTCAATCCCTTCCCCCTTTTGGAATACCTAGTGCCTATTGTTTCCATCATTATGTCCAGGTGTGCCCAATGTTTACCTCCCACTTTGAAGTGAGAATATTTAATATTTGGTATTCTCTTTATGCAATAATTCACTTAGAATGATGGCCTGCACCTACATCCATGTTGCTGCAAAGGATATAACTTCATTCCTTTTTATGGCTGCACAGTATTCCATGGTGTATATGTACCACATTTACTTTATCCAATATGGCATTGAGAAACACCTAGGTTGATTCCATAGTTTTGCTACTGCAAACTGTGCTGTAATAAACATAAGAGTGCAGGTATCTTTTAATGTTTTCCTTTCAATATACACACAGTAATAGGATTGCTGGGTCAGATGGTGGTTCTATTTTTCAATCTTTGATAAATCTTCAAACTGCTTTCCACAGTGGCTGAATTAATTTATGTTTCCAAAAACAGTGTAAAAGTCTTCTATTTTCTCTGCAGCCTCATAAGCATCTGTCATGCTTTGACTTTTTAATAATAGTCATTCGACTAGTATGAGATGGTATCTTATTGTGGTTTTGATTTGCATTTCTCTAATGATAAGTGATATTGAGCTTTTTAAAATTTTTTTCTACTATGCTTTAAGTTCTGGGGTACATGTACAGAATATGGAGGTTTGCTACATAGGTATACACGTGACAAGGTGGTTTGCTGGATACATCAAACTGTCATCTATGTGATGTATTTCTCCTAATGCTATCTGTCCCCTAGCCTCCCATTCCCTGAAAAGCCCCAGTGTGTGACGTTCTCCTCCATGTGCCCATGCATTCTCACTGTTCAACTCCCAACTCCCACTTATGAGTGAGAACATGTGCTGTTTGGTTTTCTGTTCCTGTGTTAGTTTGCTGAGAATGATGGTTTCCAGCTTCATCCATGTCCCTGCAAAGGACATGAACTCATCCTTTTTTATGGCTGCATAGTAGTCCATGGTGTATATGTGCCACATTTTCTTTATCCAGTCTATCATTGATGGGCATTTGAGTTGGTTCCAAGTCTTTGCTATTGTGAATAGTGCCACAATAAACATACGTGTGCATGTGTCTTTATAGTAGAATGATTTATAATCCTTTGGGTATATACCCAGTAATGGGATTGCTGGATCAAATGGTATTTCTACTTCTAGATCCCTTAGGAATTGCCACACTGTCTTCCACAATGGTTGAACTAATTTACACTCCCACCAACAGTGTAAAAGCGTTCCTATTTCTCCACATCCTCTCCAGCATCTGTTGTTTCCTGACTTTTTAATGATCATCATTCTAATTGGTGTGAGATGATATCTCATTGTGGTTTTGTTTTGCATTTCTCTCATGACCAGTGATGATAAGCATTTTTTCATATGTCTGTTGGCTGCATAAATGTCTTCTTTTGAGAACTGCCTGTTCGTATCCCTCACCCACTTTTCAATGAAGATGTTTGGTTTCTCTGGTAAATTTGTTTACATTTTTATAGATTCTGCATATTAGCCCTTTGTCAGATGAGTAGATTGCAAAATTTTTCTCCCATTCTGTAGGTTGCCTGTTCACTCTCATGATAGTTTATTTTGCTGTTCAGAAGCTCCTTAGTTTAATTAGATCCCATTTGTCTATTGTGGCTTTTGTTGCCATTGTGTTTGGTGTTTTATTCATGAAGTCTTTGTCCATTCCTATGTCCTGAATCGTATTGACTAAGTTTTCCTCTAGGATTTTTATGGTTTTAGGTCTTATGCCTAAGTCTTTAATTTATCTTGAGTTAACTTTTGTATAAGGTGTAAGGAAGGGGTCCAGTTTCAGTTGTCTGCATATGGCTAGCCAGTTTTCCCAACAATATTTATTAAATAGGGAATATTTTCCCCATTTCTTGTTTTTGTCAGGTTTGTCAAGATCAGATGGTTGTAGATGTGTGGTGTGATTTCTGAGGCCTCTGTTCTGTTCCATCATTCTATATATCTGTTTTAGTAGCAGTACCATGCTGTTTTGCTTACTGGAGCCTTGTAGTATAGTTTGAAGTCAAGTAGTGTGATGCCTCCAGATTTGTTCTTTTTGCTTAGGATTGTCTTGGCTATGTGGACTCTTTTTTGGTTATATATGAAATTTAACGTAGTTTTTTCTAATTCCATAAAAAAAGACAAAGGTAGCTAAATGGGGATACCATTGAATCTATAAATTACTTTGGGCCATATGGCCATTTTCACGATATTGATTCTTCCTATCCATGAGCATGGAATCTTTTTCCAATTATTTTTGCCCTCTCATTTCCTTACATAGTGGTTTCTAGTTCTCCATGAAGAGTTCCTTCACATACCTTGTAAGTTGTATTCCTAGGTATTTTATACTCTTTGTACCAATTGTGAATGGGAGTTCACTCATGATTTGGCTCTGTTTATCTATTATTGGTGTATAGGAATCCTTGTGATTTTTGCACATTGATTTTGTATCCTGAGACTTAACTGAAGTTGCTTATCAGTTTAAGGAGATTTGGTGCTGAGATGATGAGGTTTTCTCAATACAGAATCATGTCATCTGCAAACAGACAATTTGACTTCCCTTTTCCTATTTGAATACCCTTTATTTCTTTCTCTTTCCTGATTGGCCTGGCCAGAACTTCCAATACTATGTTGAATAGCAGTGGTCAGAGAGGGCATCCTTGTCTTGTGCCAGTTTTCAAAGGGAATGCTTCCAGCTTTTGCCCATTCAGTGTGATATTGGCTGTAGGTCTGTCATAAATATCTCTTATTATTTTGAGATACTTTCCATCAATACCTAATTTTTGAGACTTTCTGTCATGAAGGTTGTTGAATTTTGTCAGAGGCCTTTTCTTCATCTATTGAGATAATCATGTGGTTTTGTCATTGGTTCTATTTAAGTAATGGATTACATTTATTGATTTATGTATGTTCAATCAGCCTTACATACCATGGTTGAAGCCGAGTTGATCGTGGTGGATAAGCTTTTTTGATGTGCTGTTGGATTCGGTTTGCCAGTATTGTGTTGAGGATTTTTGCATTGATGTTCATCAGGGATTTCAGGGATATTGGCCTGAAATTTCTTTTTTGTGTGTCTCTGCCAGGTTTTGGTATCAGGATGATGATGGCCTCATAAAATGAGTTAAGAAGGATTTCCTCTTTTTCTGTTGTTTGAAATAATTTCAGAAGCAGTGGTACCAGCTCCTCTTTGCACCTCTGCTAAAATTCCACTGTGAATCTGTCTGGTCCTGGACATTTTTTGGATGGTAGGATATTAATTACTGCCTCAATTGCAAAACTTGTTATTGGTCTATTGAGGGATTCTACTTCTTTTTTGTTTAGACTTGGGAGAGTGTGTGTGTCCAGGAATTTATCCATTTCTTCTTAATTTTCTAGTTTATTTAAGTAGAGGTGTTCATAGTATTCTCTGATGGTAGTTTTTATTTCTGTGGGATCAGCGGTGATTACTCCTTTATCATTTTTTATTGCAACTATTTGATTCTTCTCTCTTTTCTTCTTTGTTAGTCTGGCTACTGGTCTATCTATTTTGTTGGAGTTTTCAAAAAACCAGCTCCTGGATTCATTTATTTTTTGAAGGTTTTTTTTCATGTCTCTATCTTCATTTCTGCTCTGATCTTAGTTATTTGTTGTCTTCTTCTAGCTTTTGAATTTGTTTGCTCTTCCTTCTCTAGTTCTTTTAATTGCGATGTTAGAGTGTCAATTTTAGATCTTTCCTGCTTTCTCTTGTGGGCATTTAGTGCAATAAATTTCCCTTTAAACACTGCTTTAAGTATGTCCCAGAGATTCTGGTATGCTGTGTCTTTGTTCTCACTAATTTCAAAGAACATCTTTATTTCTGCCTTAATTTTGTTATTATCCAGTAGTCAGGAGCAGGTTGTTCAGTTTCTATGTAGTTGTGTGGTTTTGAGTGAATTTCTTAAACCTGAGTTCTAATTTGATTGCACTGTGGTCTGAGAGACTGTTTTTTATAATTTCGTATTTGCCAGGAGTGTTTTACTTACAATTAAATGGTCAATTTTACAATAAGTGCGATGTGGTGCTGAGAAGAAAGTATATTCTGTTGATTTGGGGTGGAGAGTTTTGTAGATGTCTGTTAGGTTCACTTGGTCCAGAACTGAGTTCAAGTCCTGAACATCCTTGTAAATTTTCTGTCTCACTGATTTTTCTAATATTAACAGTGGGGTGTTAAACTATCCCACTCTTATTGTATGGGAGTCTAAGTCTCTTTGTAGGTCTCTAAGGACTCACTTTATGAATCTGGGTGCCCCCGTATTGGGTGCATATTTGTTTAGAATAGTTAGTTCTTGTTGCATTGATCTCTTTACAATTATGTAATGGCCTTCTTTGTATTTTTTTTATCTTTGTTGGTTTAAAGTCTGTTTTATCAGAGACTAGGATTACAATCCCTGCTTTTATTGCTTTCCATTTGCTTGGTAAATATTCCTCCATCCATTTATTTTGGGCTTATGTGTGTCTTTGCACCCAAGATGCATCTCCTGAATACAGCACACTGATGGGTCTTGACTCTTCATCCAATTTGCCAGTCTTTTAATTGGGATATTTATCCCATTTACATTTAAGGTTAATATTGATATGTGTGAATTAGATGCTGTCATTATGATGATAGCTTGTTATTTTGCCTGTTAGTTGATGCTGTTTCTTCATAGTGTAATCATCTTTAAAATTTGGTATGTTTTTGCAGTGGCTGGTACCAATTTTTCCTTTCCATTTTTAGTGCTTCCTTCAGGAGCTCTGGTAAGGCAAGCCTGCTGGTGACAAAATCTTTCAGCATTTGCTTGTCTGAAAAGGATTTTATTTCTTCTTCACTTATGAAGCTTAGTTTGGCTGAATACGAAATTCTGGGTTTAAATTTCTTTTCTTTACAAATGTTAAATATTAGCCCCCACTCTCTTCTGGCTTGTAGGGATTCTGCAGAGAGATCCGCTGTTATTCTGAGGGCTTCCAATTGTCAGCAACCCGACCTTTCTCTCTGGCTGCCCTTAACATTTTTTCCTTCATTTCAACCTTGGTGAATCTGATGATTATATGTCTTGAGATTGCTCTTCTCGAGGAATATCTTCATGGTGTTCTCTGTGTTTCCTGAATTTGAATGTTGAACTATCTTGCTAGTTGAGGAAGTTCTCCTGGATTATATTCTGAAGTGTTTTCCAACATGGTTCCATTTTCCTTGTCACTTTCAGGTACCCCAATCAAACATGGATTTGATCTTTTCACATACTCCCATATTTCTTGGAAGCTTTGTTCATTCCTTTTCTTTCTTTTTTCTCTAATCTTGTCTTCTCACTTTATTTCATTAAGTTGAACTTCAATCTCTCATATCCTTTCTTCTGCCTGATCATTTTGGCTTTGGATACTTGTGTATGCTTCACGAAGTTCTTGTGCTGTGTTTTACAGCTCCTTCAAGTCATTTATGTTCTTCTCTAAACTGGTTATTCTAGTTAGCATTTTGTCTAACCTTTTTTCAAGGTTCTTAGCTTTCTTGCATTGGGTTAGAACATGCTCCTTTAGCTTGGAGGAGTTTATTATCCACCTTCTGAATCCAACTTCTGTCAATTCATCAAACTCATTCTACATCCAGTTTTGTTCCCTTGCTGGCAATAAGTTGTAATCCTTTAGAGGAGAAGAGGCATTCTGGTTTTTTGAATTTTTAGCTTTTTTGCGCTTGTTTCTCCCAATCTTTGTGGATTTATCTACCTTTGGTGTTTGATGTTGGTGACCTTCAGATGCGGTTTCTTAGTGTATGTCCTTTTATTGATGTTGATGATATTCCTTTCTGTTTGCTAGTTTTCCTTCTAACAGGCCCCTCTTCTGCAGGTCTGCTGGAGTTTCCTGGAGGTCCACTCCAGACCCTGTTTCCTGGATATCACCAGCGGAGGCTGCAGAACAGCAAAGATTGCTGCCTGTTCCTTCCTCTGGAAGATTTGTCCCAGAAGGGCACCTGCCAGATGCCAGCCAGAGCTCTCCTGTATGAGGTGTCTGTCAGCACATACTGGGAGGTGTCCCCCAGTCAGGAGACACCGGGGTCAGGGACTCACTTGAGGAGACAGTCTGACCCTTAGCAGAGCTCAAACGCTGTGCTAGGAAATCTGCTGCTCTCTTCAGAACCTTCAGGTAGGGACGATTAAGTCTGCTGAAGCTTCACCCACAGCCGCCCCTTCCCCCAGGTGCTTTGTCCTAGGAAGTTGGGGGTTTTATCTATTAGCCCATGATTGGGGCTGCTTTCTTTTTTTTCAGAGATGCCCTGCCCAGGGAGGAGAAATCTAGTGGGGTAGTCTGGCCACAGTGACCTTGCTGAGCTGTGGTGGGCTCCGCCAAGTTTGAACTTCCCAGCAGCTTTGTTTACACTGTGAAGGTAAAACGGCCTACTCAAACCTCAGTAATGCTGAACGCTCCTCCCCTCACCAAGCTTGAGCGTCCCAGGTCTACCTCAGATTGCTGTACTGACAGCAAGAATTTCAAGCCGGTGGATCTTAGCTTGCTGGGCTCTGTGGTGATGGGAACTGCCGAGCCAGACCACTTGGCTCCCTGGCTTCAGCCCCCTTTCCATTTTTTACATTAGCCACTTCTATAACATCTTTTCAGAAGGATCTGTTTTTGTCCTTTGACCCACTTTTTAATGGCATTATTTGTTTTTTCTTGTTGATTTGTGTAAGTATTTTATAGATTCTGAGTATTAGTCGTTTTTTTCGATGCATAGGTGGCAAATATTTTCTCCCATTCTGTAGGTTGTCTGTTTGCTCTGCTGATAGTTCCTTTTGCTGTGCAGAAGTTCTTTCAGTTAATTTGGTTACAGAAGATCTTTAGGTAAATTAGGTTCAACTTGTCAATTTTTGGTTTTGTTGTATTGCTTTTGGGGACTTAGCCAAAAGAAATTCTGGCCAAGGCTGATTTCAAGAATATTTACAGGCAAGGTGCAGTGGCTCATGACTGTAATTCTAGCAATTTAGGAGGCTGAGGCCGGTGGATTACCTGAGCCCAGAAGTTCAAGCCCAGGCTAGACAACATTGTGAGACCCAGTGTCTATAAAAAAAAAAAAAAAAGTAAGAAATAAATAAAAAGAAGGGTATTTCATAGGTTTACTTCTAGGATTTTTATAGTTTGAGGGTTTATTGTTAAGTCTTTAATCCATGTAGAGTTAATTTTTCTATATGGAAGAAACGTAGAAATTGTTTCATTATTCTGCTTATGGTTAGCTACTTTTCTCAGAAACATTTATTACATAAGAAATCCTTCCTCGATTGTTTATTTTTGTGTAGTTTGTTGAAGATCAGTTTATTTCTGGTTCTCTACTCTATTCCATTGTTCCATCTGCTTATTTTGGTACCAGTACCATGCTGTTTTGGTTACTGTAGTCTTATAGTATAGTTCGAAGTCAGGTAATGTGATGCCTCCAATTTTGTTCTTTTAAAATTGCTTTGGCTATTTGTATTCTTTTTTGGTTTCATATAAGTTTTAGAATAGTTTTCTCTAATTCTGTGAATAAAAACCATGTGGTAATTTGATAGAAATAGCACTGAGTCTGTAGATTGCTTTGGCTTGTAGAAACATTTTTATGATATTGTATCTTCCAATGCATGACCATGAAATGCTTATTTGTTTGTGTAATCTATGACTTTTTTCTTCAGTGTTTTGTAGTTCTCATAGAGATCTTTCCTTCTTGGTTAGATGTATTCCTAGGTATTTTGTGTGTGTGTGACTATTATAAAGGAAATATTATTTTTTATTTGGCCCTCAGCTTGAACATTATTGGTGTATAGAATTAATACTGATTTTTTTTTTTTTTTTTTTGAGACGGAGTCTCGCTCTGTCGCCCAGGCTGGAGTGCAGTGGTGGGATCTCGGCTCACTGCAAGCTCCGCCTCCCGGGTTCACGCCATTCTCCTGCCTCAGCCTCCCAAGTAGCTGGGACTACAGGCGCCCACCACTACGCCCGGCTAATTTTTTGTATTTTTAGTAGAGACGGGGTTTCACCGTTTTAGCCGGGATGGTCTCGATCTCCTGACCTCGTGATCCGCCCGCCTCGGCCTCCCAAAGTGCTGGGATTACAGGCGTGAGCCACCGCGCCCGGCCAATACTGATTTTTGTACATTGGTTCTGTATCCTAAAATTTTATTTAAGTGGCTTATCATATCTAGGATCCTTTTGGTGGAAACTTTAGGGTTTTCTAGGTATAAAATCATATCATCTGCAAAAAGAGGTAATTTAACTTCTTTTCCAATTTTGATACCCTTTATTTTTTCTTCTTGCCTGATTCCTGTAAGACTTTCAGTACCATGTTGAATAACACTGGTGAGAGTGAAAATTCTTACCTTGTTCTAGTTCTTAGAGGTATGATTCTACTTTTTTGCCCATTCAGTATGATATTGGCTGTGGGTTTCTTACAGATGGCTCTTATTATTTTGAGGTATGTTCCTTTGATGCCTAAAATGTTCATGGTTTTTATCATAAAGGGATATTTGATTTTATTTAATGTTTTTTCTGCATCTATTAAAATGAAGTCAGGTAACATGATTCTTCCAGCTTTGTTCCTTTTTGCTTTGGATTGCCTTGGCTATTCAGGTGATTTATTAATTCCATATAAATTTTAAAACAATTTTTCTAGGTCTGTAAAGAATGTCATTGGTAGTTTGATAGGAATAGCATTGAATCTGTACATTGCTTTAGGTAATGTAGCCATTTTTTTATTATACTTTAAGTTTTAGGGTACATGTGCACAACGTGCAGATTTGTTACATATGTATACATGTGCCATGTTGGTGTGCTGCACCCATTAACTCGTCATTTAACATTAGGCATATCTCTTAATGCTATCCCTCCCCCCGCCACCACACAACAGGCCCCAGTGTGTGATGTTCCCCTTCCTGTGTCCATGTGTTCTCATTGTTCAATTCCCCCACCTATGAGTGAGAACATGCGATGTTTGTTTTTTTGTCCTTGTGATAGTTTACTGAGAATGATGGTTTCCAGCTTCATCCATGTCCCTACAAAGGACATGAACTCATCATTTTTTATGGCTGCATAGTATTCCATGGTGTATATGTGCCACATTTTCTTAATCCAGTCTATCATTGTTGGACATTTGGGTTGGTTCCAAGTCTTTGCTATTGTGAATAGTGCCAAAATAAACATACGTGTGCATGTGTCTTTATAGCAGCATGTTTCATAATCCTTTGGGTATATACCCAGTAATGGAATGGCTGGGTCAAATGGTATTTCTAGTTCTAGATCCCTGAGGAATCGCCCAGTGTAGCCATTTTAATAATTTTTGTTCTTCCTATCCATGATCATGGGATGTTTTTCCATTTGTTTGTGTCTTCTCTAATTTCTTTGACCAGTGTTTTGTAATTCTCATTATAGAGATCTTTGACTTCCCCAGTTAGCTTTATTCCAAGGTATTTTATTCCATTTGTGGCAATTTTGAATGGGATTGCCTTTCTGATTTGGATCTCAGTTTAGCTGTTTTTGGTGTATGGGAATGCTACTGATGTTTGTACACGAATTTTTTATCCTGCAACTTTGCCGAAGTTGTTCGTCAGCTGAAGGAGCTTTGGGGCCAAGACTATGGGGTCATCTAGCTATAGAATTATATCATCTGTAAACAAAGATAGTTTGACTTCCTCTCTTCCTATTTGGATGCCCTTTATTTCTATCTCTTGCCTGATTGCTCTGGCTAAGCCTTTCAATACTATGTTGAATACATGTGGTGAGAGAGGGCATCCTTGTCTTGAGCTGGTTTTCAAGGGAAATAATTTCAGCTTTTGCCCACTCACGATAACGTTGGCTATGCATTTGTCAAAATAGTAAGATGACTCTATTTGTGCTGCTATAATATAAATTTACAGTAGTAATATAAATATATTTGTGCTGCTGTTATAGTAGTAATATAAATTTAAATTTATTAAATTTGTTTATTATTATTCCTTTTATATTATTTATATTTATATTTATTATTTACCAGATTTATTAAATAAATTTAATACATAATTTATTAGTTTAAATATATTACATTTATTAAATAACTTCAAATATATAACTAAAATAGTAAAATGGCTATTTCGTGTTGCTGAATTTGGTGTGTCAGTATTTTGTTGAGGATTTTTGCATCAATGTTCATCAAGGATATTGGCCTGAAGTTTCTTTGTCGTAGTGTCTCTGCCAGATTTTAAAATAAAGATAATGCTGGCCCCATAGAATGAGTTTAAGAGAAGTCCTTCCTTCTCAATTTTTAGGAATAGTTTCTGTAGAAATGGTATGAGCTCTTCTTTAACATTTGGTAGAGTTTGGCTGGGAATCCACTGGGTACTGGACTTTTCTCAGATGGTAAGCTATTTATTGCTGATTCAATTTTGAAGCTCACTACTGGTCAGTTCAGGGAATCAATTTCTTCCTGATTCAGTCTTGGGAGGGTGTATGTGTACATGAATTTATCCATCTCTTCTATGTTTTCTAGTTTGTGTGCATAGAGGTGTTCATAGTAGTTTCTGATGATTGTTTTACTTCTGTGGAGTCAGTGGTAATATTCCCTTCATCATTTCTGATTGTATTTATTTGGATCTTCTCTCTTTTCTTCTTAATTAGTCTGGCTAATAGCCTACTTTCTTAATAAATAAACAACGAATTCCTTTATTCATTCATCTTTTGACTGGTTTTCTGTGTCTCAATTTTCTTCACTTCAGCTTTAATTTTTGTTATTTCTCATATTCTGCTAAAATTGGGGTTGATTTGTTCTAGCTGTTCTGATTATTTTACTTCTGAAGTAAGCTTGTTAATTTGAGATCTTTGTAACTTTGGGGCATGGACATTTAGTAACATAAATTTCCCTCTTAACACTGTCCTTGCTGTGTCCTAGAGATTGTGGTACATTTTATCTTTGTTTTTACTACTTTCTAAGAACTTCTTGAGTTCTGCCTTAACTTTATTATTTACACAAAAGTCATTCAGAAGAAGGTTGTTCAATTTACATGGAATTGTATGGTTTTGAGCAATTTTCTTAGTCCTGATTTCCAATTTTATTGTGCTGTTGTCAAACAGAGTAGTTGTTATAACTTCATGATTTTTGTTGATGTTGTTTTTATACTTTAAGTTCTAGGTTACATGTGCAGAACATGCAGCTTTGTTACATAGGTATGCAGATGCCATGGTGGTTTGCTGCACCCATCAACCCGTCACCTACATTAGGTATTTCTCCTAATGTTATCTCTCCCCTAGCTCACCACCCACTGACGGGCTCCAGTGTGTGATGATCCCCTCCTTTTGTCCATGTGTTCTTATTATTCAACTCTCACTTATGAGTGAGAACACGTGCTGTTTGGTTTTCTGCTCTTGTGATAGTTTTCTGAGAATGATGGTTTCCAGCTTCATCCATGTCCCTGCAAAGGACATGAACTCATCCTTTTTTATGGCTACATAGTATTCCATGGTGTATATGTGCCACATTTTCTTTATCCAGTCTATCATTGATGGACATTTGGGTTGGTTCCAAGTCTTTGCTATTGTGAATAGTGCCACAATAAACAAACATGTGCATGTGTCTTTATTGTAGAATGATCTATAATCTTTTGAGTATATGCCCAGTAATGGGATTGCTGGGTCAAATGATATTTCTACTTCTAGATCCTTGAGGAATTGCCATACTGTCTTCCACAATGGTTGAACTAATTTACACTCCCACCAACTGTGTAAAAGCTTTCCTATTTCTCCACATCCTCTCCAGCATCTGTTGTTTCCTGACTTTTTAAAGATCACCATTCTAACTGGTGTGAGATGGTATCTCATTGTGGTTTTGATTTGCATTTCTCTAATGACCAATGATGATGAGCATTTTTTCATATGTCTGTTGGCTGCATGAAAGTCTTCTTTTGAAAAATGTCTGTTCATATCCTTTGCCCACTTTTTGATGGGGTTGTTTGATTTGTTATTTTTTGTTTGTTTGTTTGTTTGTAAATTTGTTTAAGTTTTTTGTAGATTCTGGATATCACCCCTTTGTCAGATGGGTATATTGAAAATTTTTTCTCCCATTGTGTATGTTGTCTGTTCACTCTCATGGTAGTTTCTTTTGCTATGCAGAAGCTCTTCAGTTTAATTAGATCCCAATTTTCTATTTTGGATTTTGTTGCCATTGCTTTTGGTGTTTTTTTTTTTTTTTTTTTTTCATGAAATCCTTTCACATGCCTATGTCCTGAATGGTATTGCCTAGGTTTTCTTCTAGGGTTTTTATAGTTTCAGGTCTGACATTTAAGTCTTTAATCCATCTTGAATTAATTTTTGTACAAGGTGTATGGAATGGATCCGGTTGCAGCTTTCTACCTATGGCTAGCCAGTTTTCCCAGCAACATTTATTAAATAGGAAATCCTTTCCCCATTTCTTGTTTTTGTCAGGTTTGTCAAAGATCAGATGGTTGTAGATGTGTGGTGTTATTTCTGAGGCCTCTGTTCTGTTCTGTTGGTCGATATATCTGTTTTGGTACCAGTACCATGCTGTTTTGCTTACTGTAGCCTTGTATTATAGTTTGAAGTCAGGTAGCGTAATGCCTCCAGATTTGTTCTTTTGCCCAGGATTGTCTTGGCAGAGCAGGCTCTTTTTTGGCTCCATATGAACTTTAAAGTAGTTTTTTCCAATTCTGTGAAGAAAGTCATTGGTAGCTTGATGGGAATGGCATTGAATCTATAAATTACTTTGGGCAGTATGGCCATTTCACTATATTGATTCTTCCTATCCGTGAGCATGGAATGTTCTTCCATCTGTATCCTCTTTTATTTCCTTGAGTGGTTTGTAGTTCTTCTTGAAGAGGTCCTTCACATCCCTTGTAAGTTGTATTCCTAGGTATCCTATTCTCTTTGAAGCAATTGTGAATGGAAGTTCACTCATGGTTTGGCTCTCTGTTTGTCTGTTATTGGTATATAGGAATGCTTGTTATTTTTGCACATTAATTTTGTATCGTGAGACTTTGCTGAAGTTGCTTATCAGCTAAAGGAAAATATGGGCTGAGATGATGGTGTTTTCTAAATTTACAATCATGTCTTCTGCAAACAGAAACAGTTTGACTTCCTGTCTTCCTATTTGGATACCATTTATTGCTTTCTCTTGCCTGATTGCCCTGGCCAGAGCTTCCAATACTATGTTGAATAGCAGTGGTCAGAGAGGGCATAACTGTCTTGTGCTGGGTTTCAGAGGGAATGCTTCTGGTTTTCACCCATTCAATATGATATTGGTTGTGGGTTTGTCATCAGTAGCTCTTATTATGTTGAGATACATTCTATCGATACCTCGTTTACTGAGAGTTTTTAGCATGAAAGGCTGTTGAGTGTTGTTGAAGGCCTTTTCTGCATCTATTGAAAAAATCATGTGGTTTTTGTCATTGGTTCTGTTTATGTGATTGATTATGTTTATCAATTTGCATATGTTGAACCAGTCTTGCATCCCAGGGTTGAAGCCCACTTGATCGTGGTGGATAAGCTTTTTGATGTGCTGCTGGATTCAGTTTGCCAGTACTTTATTCAGGATTTTTGCATCAATGTTCACCAGGGATATTGGCCTAAAATTCTCTTTTTTTGTTGTGTCTCTGCCAGACTTTGGTATCAGGATGATGCTGGCCTCATAAAATGAGTTAGGGAGGATTCCCTCTTTTTCTATTGATTGGAATAGTTTCAGAAGGAAAGGTACCAGCTCCTCCTAGTACCTCTTGTAGAATTCGGCTGTGATTCCATCTGGTCCTGAACTTTTTTTGGTTGGTAAGCTGTTAATTATTGCCTCAATTTCAGATCCTGTTATTGGTCTATTCAGAGATTCAACTTCTTCCTGGTTTAGTCTTGGGAGGGTGTACGTGTCCAAGAATTTGTCCATTTCTTCTAGGTTTTCTAGTTTATTTAAGTAGAGGTGTTTATAGTATTCTCTGATGGTAGTTTGTATTTCTGTGGGATCGGTGGTGATATCCCCTTTATCATTCTTTATTGCACCTATCGGATTTTTCTCTCTTTTCTTCTTTATTAGTCTTGCTAGCAGTCTATCAATTTTGTTGATCTTTTCAAAAAACCAGCTCCTGGATTCATTGACTTTTTGAAGGGTTTTTTGTGTCTCTATCTCTTTCAGTTCTTCTCTGCTCTTAGTTATTTCTTCTCTTCTGCTAGCTTTTGAATTTGTCTCCTCTTGTTTCTCTAGTTCTTTTTTTTTTTTTTCTCATGTGTTTTTTTTTTTTTTTTTTTTTTTTTTTTATTATACTCTAAGTTTTAGGGTACATGTGCACATTGTGCAGGTTAGTTACATATGTATACATGTGCCATGCTGGTGCGCTGCACCCACTAATGTGTCATCTAGCATTAGGTATATCTCCCAATGCTATCCCTCCCCCCTCCCCCGACCCCACCACAGTCCCCAGAGTGTGATATTCCCCTTCCTGTGTCCATGTGATCTCATTGTTCAATTCCCACCTATGAGTGAGAATATGCGGTGTTTGGTTTTTTGTTCTTGCGATAGTTTACTGAGAATGATGGTTTCCAATTTCATCCATGTCCCTACAAAGGATATGAACTCATCATTTTTTATGGCTGCATAGTATTCCATGGTGTATATGTGCCACATTTTCTTAATCCAGTCGATCATTGTTGGACATTTGGGTTGGTTCCAAGTCTTTGCTATTGTGAATAGTGCCGCAATAAACATACGTGTGCATGTGTCTTTATAGCAGCATGATTTATACTCATTTGGGTATATACCCAGTAATGGGATGGCTGGGTCAAATGGTATTTCTAGTTCTAGATCCCTGAGGAATCGCCACACTGACTTCCACAATGGTTGAACTAGTTTACAGTCCCACCAACAGTGTAAAAGTGTTCCTATTTCTCCGCATCCTCTCCAGCACCTGTTGTTTCCTGACTTTTTAATGATTGCCATTCTAACTGGTGTGAGATGATATCTCATAGTGGTTTTGATTTGCATTTCTCTGATGGCCAGTGATGATGAGCATTTCTTCATGTGTTTTTTGGCTGCATAAATGTCTTCTTTTGAGAAGTGTCTGTTTATGTCCTTCACCCACTTTTTGATGGGGTTGTTTGTTTTTTTCTTGTAAATTTGTTTGAGTTCATTGTAGATTCTGGATATTAGCCCTTTGTCAGATGAGTAGGTTGCAAAAATTTTCTCCCATGTTGTAGGTTGCCTGTTCACTCTGATGGTAGTTTCTTTTGCTGTGCAGAAGCTCTTTAGTTTAATTAGATCCCATTTGTCAATTTTGTCTTTTGTTGCCATTGCTTTTGGTGTTTTGGACATGAAGTCCTTGCCCACGCCTATGTCCTGAATGGTAATGCCTAGGTTTTCTTCTAGGGTTTTTATGGTTTTAGGTTTAACGTTTAAATCTTTAATCCATCTTGAATTGATTTTTGTATAAGGTGTAAGGAAGGGATCCAGTTTCAGCTTTCTACATATGGCTAGCCAGTTTTCCCAGCACCATTTATTAAATAGGGAATCCTTTCCCCATTGCTTGTTTTTGTCAGGTTTGTCAAAGATCAGATAGTTGTAGATATGTGGCATTATTTCTGAGGACTCTGTTCTGTTCCATTGATCTATATCTCTGTTTTTGTACCAGTACCATGCTGTTTTGGTTACTGTAGCCTTGTAGTATAGTTTGAAGTCAGGTAGTGTGATGCCTCCAGCTTTGTTCTTTTGGCTTAGGATTGACTTGGCAATGCGGGCTCTTTTTTGGTTCCATATGAACTTTAAAGTAGTTTTTTCCAATTCTGTGAAGAAAGTCATTGGTAGCTTGATGGGGATGGCATTGAATCTGTAAATTACCTTGGGCAGTATGGCCATTTTCACGATATTGATTCTTCCTACCCATGAGCATGGAATGTTCTTCCATTTATTTGTCTCCTCTTTTATTTCCTTGAGCAGTGGTTTGTAGTTCTCCTTGAAGAGGTCCTTCACATCCCTTGTAAGTTGGATTCCTAGGTATTTTATTCTCTTTGAAGCAATTGTGAATGGGAGTTCACCCATGATTTGGCTCTCTGTTTGTCTGTTGTTGGTGTATAAGAATGCTTGTGATTTTTGTACATTGATTTTGTATCCTGAGACTTTGCTGAAGTTGCTTATCAGCTTAAGGAGATTTTGGGCTGAGACGATGGGGTTTTCTAGATAAACAATCATGTCGTCTGCAAACAGGGACAATTTGACTTCCTCTTTTCCTATTTGAATACCCTTTATTTCCTTCTCCTGCCTGATTGCCCTGGCCAGAACTTCCAACACTATGTTGAATAGGAGCGGTGAGAGAGGGCATCCCTGTCTTGTGCCGGTTTTCAAAGGGAATGCTTCCAGTTTTTGCCCATTCAGTATGATATTGGCTGTGGGTTTGTCATAGATAGCTCTTATTATTTTGAAATATGTCCCATCAATACCTAATTTATTGAGAGTTTTTAGCATGAAGGGTTGTTGAATTTTGTCAAAGGCTTTTTCTGCATCTATTGAGATAATCATGTGGTTTTTGTCTTTGGCTCTGTTTATATGCTGGATTACATTTATTGATTTGCGTATATTGAACCAGCCTTGCATCCCAGGGATGAAGCCCACTTGATCATGGTGGATAAGCTTTTTGATGTGCTGCTGGATTCGGTTTGCCAGTATTTTATTGAGGATTTTTGCATCAATGTTCATCAAGGATATTGGTCTAAAATTCTCTTTTTTGGTTGTGTCTCTGCCCGGCTTTGGTATCAGAATGATGCTGGCCTCATAAAATGAGTTAGGGAGGATTCCCTCTTTTTCTATTGATTGGAATAGTTTCAGAAGGAATGGTACCAGTTCCTCCTTGTACCTCTGGTAGAATTCGGCTGTGAATCCATCTGGTCCTGGACTCTTTTTGGTTGGTAAACTATTGATTATTGCCACAATTTCAGAGCCTGTTATTGGTCGATTCAGAGATTCAACTTCTTCCTGGTTTAGTCTTGGGAGAGTGTGTGTGTCGAGGAATGTATCCATTTCTTCTAGATTTTCTAGTTTATTTGCGTAGAGGTGTTTGTAGTATTCTCTGATGGTAGTTTGTATTTCTGTGGGATCGGTGGTGATATCCCCTTTATCATTTTTTATTGTGTCTATTTGATTCTTCTCTCTTTTTTTCTTTATTAGTCTTGCTAGCGGTCTATCAATTTTGTTGATCCTTTCAAAAAACCAGCTCCTGGATTCATTGATTTTTTGAAGGGTTTTTTGTGTCTCTATTTCCTTCAGTTCTGCTCTGATTTTAGTTATTTCTTGCCTTCTGCTAGCTTTTGAATGTGTTTGCTCTTGCTTTTCTAGTTCTTTTAATTGTGATGTTAGGGTGTCAATTTTGGATCTTTCCTGCTTTCTCTTGTAGGCATTTAGTGCTATAAATTTCCCTCTACACACTGCTTTGAATGCATCCCAGAGATTCTGGTATGTGGTGTCTTTGTTCTCGTTGGTTTCAAAGAACATCTTTATTTCTGCCTTCATTTCGTTATGTACCCAGTAGTCATTCAGGAGCAGGTTGTTCAGTTTCCATGTAGTTGAGCGGCTTTGAGTGAGATTCTTAATCCTGAGTTCTAGTTTGATTGCACTGTGGTCTGAGAGATAGTTTGTTATAATTTCTGTTCTTTTACATTTGCTGAGGAGAGCTTTACTTCCAACTATGTGGTCAATTTTGGAATAGGTGTGGTGTGGTGCTGAAAAAAATGTATATTCTGTTGATTTGGGGTGGAGAGTTCTGTAGATTTCTCTAGTTCTTTTCATTGTGATGTTAGGGTGTCGATTTTAGATCTCCCCTGCTTTCTCTTGTGGCCATTTAGTGCTATAAATTTCCCATTAGACACTGCTTCAAATGTGTCTCAGAGATTCTGGTATGTTGTGTCTTTGTTCTCACTGTTTTCAAAGAACATCTTTATATCTTATATATCTCTTTATACATTATTTCGTTTACTACTCACTATTCATTCAGGAGCAGGTTGTTCATTTTCCATGTAGTTGTGTGGTTTTGAGTGAGATTCTTAATCCCGAGCTCTAATTTCATTACACTGTGGTCTGGGAGACAGTTTATTGTGATTTCTTTTCTTTTACATTTGCTCAGAAGTGCTTTACTTCCAATTATATGGCCAATTTTAGAATAAGTGTGATGTGGTGTTGAGAAGAATGTATATTCTGTTGATTTGGGGTGGAGAGTTCTGCAGATGTCCATTAGTTCCACTTGGTCCAGAACTGAGTTCAACTCCTGGATATCCTTGTTAATTTTCTGTCTCATTAATCTAATATTGACAATGAGGTGTTAACATCTCCCATTATTATTGTGTAGGAGTCTAAGTCTCCTTGTAGGTCTCTAAGAACTTGCTTTATGAATCTGGGTGTTACTGTATTGGGTGCATATTTGTTTAGCATAGTTAGTTCTTCTTGTTGAATTTATCCCTTTACCATTATGTAGTGGCCTTCTTTGTCTCTTTTGATCTTTGTTGGTTTAAAGTCTGTTTTACCATAGACCAAGATTGCAATCCCTGCTTTTTTTTTTTCCATTTGCTTGGTATATCTTCCTCCATCCCTTTATTTTGAGCCTATGTGTGTCTTTGCACATGAGATGGGTCTCCTGAATATAGCACACCGATGGTCTTGACTCTTTGTCCAATTTGCCAGTCTTTATGTTTTAATTGGGGCATTTAGCCTATTTACCTTTAAGGTTAATTTTTTTAAGTGTGAATTTGATCCTGTCACTATAATGCTAGCTGGTTATTTTGCCCATTAATTGATGCAGTTTCTTCATAGCGTCAATGGTCTTTACAATTTGGCATGTTTTTGCAGGGGCTGATACCGGTTGTTCCTTTCCATGTTTAGTGCTTCCTTCAAGAGCTCTTGTAGGGCAGGCCTGGTGGTGACAAGATCTCTCAGCATTTTCTTGTCTGTAAAGGATTTTACTTTCCTTCACTTATGAAGCTTAGTTTGGCTGGATATGAAATTCTGGGTTGAAATTCTTTTCTTTAGGAATGTTGAATATTGGCCCTCAATCTCTTCTGGCTTGTAGGGTTTCTGCCAAGAGATCAGCTGTTAGTCTGATGGACTTCCCTTTGTGGGTAACCCGACCTTTCACTCAAACTTCCCTTAACATTTTTTCCTTCTCTTCAACCTTTGTAATTCTGACAATTATGTGTCTTGAGGTTGCTCTTCTTGAGGAGTATCTTTGTGGTGTTCTCAGTATTTCCTGAATTTGAATGTTAGCCTGCCCTGTTATGTTGGGGTAGTTTTCCTGGAAAATATCCTGAAGAGTGTTTTCTAACTTGGTTCCTTTCTCCCCATCACTTTCAGGTACACCAGTCAAATGTAGATTTTGTCTTCTCACATATCCCACATTTCTTGGAGGCTTTATTCATTTCTTTTCACTCTTTTTTCTCTTATCTTGTCTCAGTTTTTTGGTTATTTTTTTACATTTTCTGAGGTGTTGTCTTATGATCACTTATGTGATCGATTTTAGAGTATGTGCCATGTGGCAATAAAAAGAATGTATATTTTGTTGTTTTTGAGTTGAGAGTTCCGCAGATGTCTATCAGGTCCATTTTATCTAGTGCTGAGTTTATGTCCTGAATGTCTTTGTTAATTTTGCACTTCTGTGACATAATACTGTCAGTGGTGTGCTGAAGTCTCCAAAGTAGGAGTGTCTCTTGCAAGGTCTGTAAGAACTTGCTTTATAAGTCTGGGTGTTCCTGTGTTAGGTGCATATACATTTAGAATAGTTAGCTTTTCTCATTGAATTGAACCTTTTACTATTATGTAATGCCATTTTTGTCTGTTAAAAATCTTTTTAGATTTAAAGTATGTTTTGTCTGAAATTATGTTTGCCACCCCTGCTTTTTTCTGTTTTCCTTTTTCTTGGTAGATTTTTCTCCATCTCTTTGAGTCTCTGTCTGCCATTGCATGTGAGGTGGGTGTCTTGAAGACAGCATACTAATGGGTCTTAGTTTGTTATCTAGCTTGTCACTCTATGTCTTTAATTGGGGCATTAGCTGACTTACACTCAAGGTTAGTCTTGAAGTGTGTTGATTTGATCCTATTATTGTGCTATTAGCTGGTTATTATGTTGGCTTGTTTGTGTTGTTGCTTTACAGTGACATTGGCCTGTGTTTTTAATTGTGTTTTTGTATTAACTGGTATTGGTTGGTCTTTTGTTTCTATATTTAGTGCTTCTTTCAAGATCTCTTGTAAGGCACATCTGGTGGTAATGAAGTCTCTCAACATTTGCTTATCAGAAAATAATCTTAGTTCTCTTTCATTTAGGAAGCTCAATTTAGCTGGATATAGAATTATTGGTTGAAGATTTTTTTCTTTAAGAATGTTGAATATGGGTCCCCAATTTCTTCTGACTTGCAAGGTTTCAGCTGAGAGGTCTGCTATAAGCCTGATAGAAATCCCTTTGTAGGTGACCTGCCCTTTCTTTCTAGCTGCCTTTAACATTCTTTCTTTCATTTCAACCTTGGAAAATCCAACAGTTATGTTTCTTGGGGATAATCTTCTTGGGGAGAATCTTGCAGGAGTTATCTGTATTTCCTGAATTTGACTGTAGGCCTCTATGTCAAGGATGGGAAAGTTTTCACGTATGATATTCTGAAATATATTTTCCAAGTTTGCTTTACCCTTCTTCCATTCAGGGATGCCAATGATTCATAGCTTTGGTCTCCTTACATAATCCCACACTTCTTGGAGGTTTTGTTCACTCCTTTTTATTTTTTCTTTGTTTTTGTCTAACTATACTATTCAGATAACCAGTCTTCAAGTTTTGAGGTTCTTTCCTCTGCTTGGTTTTATTCTTCTGTTTCTACTTGTGACTGCATTGTGAATTCTTGTTATTCAACTCTGTCATACCCATTAGATTCTTTTTTACTGGCTATTTTATCCTTCAGCTCCTGTATCACTTTATTGTGATTCTTGTTTTCCTTGGATTGGGTTTTGCCATCCTCCTGAATCTCAATGACCTTTCTTCCTGTCCATATTTTGAATTATATTTCTGTCATTCCAGCCAGTTTGGCCTGATTAGGAACTCTTGTTGAAGAATGGTGCAGTCATTTGAAGGACATACGACACTCTAGACATTTGAATTACCAAAGTTCTTGCATTGGTTCTCTATTATCTCTGTGTGAGTGTTCCTTTAACTACAATGTAAATTAACTACAGTCAATAGAGTTCTTTTCTGGATGTTTTCACTGGGCTGAAGCTTTTTGTAGGGTATTTATTTGAAGCTGACTTTTTATCTCTGGTTTCAGTGGGGGGGGGGTATGTTAATGAAGTATTTTTGGTGTTGAAGCTTTGAGGTGTAATCCAGCAGATAACACTTAGGCTTATTGGTCAGTTGGTAGACTGTTGCTTGGTTGTTTGGCTCCCCTGAGTTTACTAACAGTTGTAGTCATGTTCCTTTTCAGTGCTCTGGAAGTGTGGGTTCCTCTCCCCCTTGAGTGCTGTCTGTAGTTCACGACTTGTCACTCCTAGGCTGCACATTGCAGCCCTGGGGCAATCTCAGTGTTTATGTTTCTTCCCCAGCTTAAAGACAGCAGAGGAAGATATCTTTGTACTGGTTGTGGCCAAGGATCATTTGCTTTACTCCTGGGGATTCTACTCTAGACAGATGTAGGTCAGCCTGCTGCTCCCTCTGAGAGTTCCATCACAGAGAGTTACAGACCTGTTGTTAACCCAGACCCATGTATAGAAGGTGGCTGGAGATGACTTGCCTAAACCTCTGTGGTGAATGCTTAGAGGGAGGCAGGTACATCTGCATCTGCTAGCACTCTGCTGAAGCTGCTGCACTTCATACCCCCAGCACAGTGGACTCCCAATGTTGAGGAGCCAGAGAACAACGTCAGAACCCAACACAAGGCCCCCCACAGTTACAGCATGCAGTCAAGTAGTTGGGAGTTGAGCATTGGCTCCCTAAAATCTCCCAGAAACAAAGCCAGTCATCTGAATCACTTTTATGCCACAATCAAACACTCAAGGTTATCAAATAGGATAAGGGGTGGAAACCATTGAATGGTCAGCAACCTCAAAGACTGAAGGTAGATAAGCCCACAAAGATGAGAATGAATCTGCACAATAACACTGAAAACTCAAAAAACCAGAATGTCTTCTTTCCTCCAAATGATGGCATCATCTCTCCAGCAAGGGTTTGGAACCAGGCTGAGGCTGAGATGGCTGAAATTACAGAAGTAAAATTCAGAATGTGGATAGAAATGAAGTTCATTGAGCTACAGGAGTACGTTGTAACCTGATGCAAGGAAGCTGAAAATTATGATAAAACATTGCAGGAGCTGACCGACAAAATAGCCAGTGTAAAGAAGAACATATCTGACCTCATAAAGCTTAAAAACACACTACAAGAACTTTATAATGCAACCAAAAGTATTAATAGCAGAATAGACCAAGCAGGGGAAAGAATCTCAGAGCTCGAAGAATGGCTTTCTGAATAAAGATAGGCAGACAAGAATAGAGAAAAAAGAATGAAAAGGAATGAACAAAACCTGTGAGAAGTATGGAATTATGTAAAGAAACCAAACCTTTACAGAATAGAGTGTGGAGCCCCTGCTAGAAACTGTGTGTGCTGTTGCACTGGAGGTAGTGTTGGCTTTGGGTGGGGTGCTGGCCTGTGCAGGTCTGGTTCCCTTCTCTGCCTCACAAGCAAAAATAATTGCTCAGTATGTGGAAGGATCCCGTGTTCTCTGTGCAGTCTCAGCGCAAGGACAGGGTGCTGGCAGGGGTGTGCTTGATGGCTCTGTGCCTGCCAAAGCTCTGTCAGCAATGGCGGTCAGTGAGGGTGTTGGGTCATACTGCACTCCCACATGCTGGTGAAGCAAGCAAAACAAAACCCGCCTGTGCAGAAACACCCTCAAGGTGAGGTGGGGTGTTTTTGTGGGCCCAGAGGAAGCTTCAGTATGGGGAAGAAACGTGTGAGCTGATGCACATCCATAGGGGCCACCTTGCTGGAGCTCTCCGTTTGTCAGGCATAGTCTGCCAGCATGGAAGCCATGGAGTAGGCCCCTAGGGCACCTGAGACTGCCCTGTAAGCAGGCATGGCCAGGCTGCAGCCTTGGGAGAGCCCAACAAATTGAGCATCAGCCCCATCTGATGTGCAAGGCAGCCCTGCAGAGATCAGGTCTGACAGTTCCCCTAGGGCTAAAGTATCTTACGGAAGCAAGTAGAGCCTAGAAGGACAGCCAACCCTGGCCATGCTTCACTAAAGATACTCCTGTATCAAAACCTCTGGGTTTCACATCAGCTGGCTTGCTGCCCCACCACTTTGCTTGTCTCCCGGGGGCTCCACCACAAAGAGATGTGGGTCCGCAATTGTTTGGTGCAATCAGCCCAGGATAAAAAGTCGGTGATGCAAGCTCGAGCCAGGGTTTCCCTGTCTGGTGATGAACAGTGGGGGCTGTGTGGGTCCCATATGAGATGAACTGGCCTCCTATCCTTGGGTGCACTGCAGCTTGTTGGACATTGCAGATAAAGCACTTAGGGTCTTTGCTCTGTCATTAGCCTGAGGGTAACAAGGACAGTTCCATTGCAGATGAAGTGGCAGAGAGGCTTTCAGTTGCCCCTGGAGGCTCTGTCCAGGGAGTTGCAGTTACTACTGGAACCTAGGCCTGAGGGACCTTTTTAGTGAGGAGATATGGAAATAGGCACCCACATAACACTCTGGCCACTTGTCCGTAAGGCTTCTGTGGTAAGACGGGGATCTGCTCCCGTCCCTAGTCACCAGTGAAGGCTGTGAAACAGCGAAGATGGCAGCCTGCCCCTCCTTCTGAGAGCTCCATCTCAGGGAGGTGCAGACCTGCTGCCAGCTCAAACACATCTGTAGGAGGTGGCTGGAGACCCTGGTTGGGAGGTCTCACCCAGTGAGAAGAAATGGGATTGAAAGCGCACTTTAAAAAGCAGTCTGGCCAGGTTTTCATAGAGCAGCTATGCTGTGCTGGGGGTCTGCTTCAGCCTCCTGTCACCTCAGACACTCCAAAGCCCAAAAGCTGGAATGGTTAAGTCACCCAAATAGCAAAGATGGTGGCAGAACCCTCTCTCTAGGAGCTCCATCACAGGGAGGTTTCAAAACTCTGTTGGCCAGGGAGCACCGGCAGGGGTGGTTGGAGGCACCAGTTGGGAGGGTTTCACTCAGTGAGTAGGAATGGGATTGGGAACTCACTTTAAAAAACAGCCTGGTCACATTTTCACAGAGTAGCTATGCTGGCTGAGAAGACCACCTCTGCCCCCAGTTGGCTTGGACTCTCCAAAGCCTGAAGGCTGCAATGGCTAAATAGCCCAAACAGCAAAGATGGCTGCCCACCCCCCATGCTGGGATCTCTCTCAGGGAGGTGTAACATTGCTATCTGTGGCTGTCTGGAAATCCAATCCAGTGGGCCTTATTCTGTGAGGTGCCATGGAAGTGGGGCCTGCAGATTGTTCTGCTCAGCCCCCTGGATTCAGCCTCTCTCCTAGGGTTATGCTGCACATGAGTCTAGCCTCCTGCTTTGCCAGAGTTGCAGCTAATTTTGCTGGGAAGCCGAGAAAGCCTGAATATCTAAGGCTCCCATGTCTACACAAGTACCTGATTGGCTGCTCTGCCAAGACTCCACATAGTTCTGTGTGTCATACTGAAGGCCCTGGTGGAGTGGGTTCATAAGGGAATCTCCCAAGGATTGCAAAGATCTGTGGGAGAAGTTGGGTTTCTAGGGTGGCACATTCACTCAACGCTTCCCTGGGTGGGGGAGATTCCCTTGTCTCCATGTCGCTCCAGTATGGGCTGTCATTCTGCCTTGCTTTTCTCCATTCTCTGGGCGTCAAGTTGTTTCCTTGATTAGTCCCAATGCGAGTACCTGGATGTTTCAGTTGAAGGTGCTGTATTTACTCACCCTTTCTATTTCTCTTCATAAGAGTCATACACACTAGCTGTTTCTAGTCGGCCATCTTGGTCACCTCTGAATGTATGTTGTTTAAGCCATCTAGCCTGTGGTGTTTTGTTTATGGCAGCTCCAGAAAACTAATATAGGACTTCATGCCAAAAAAGAAATTCATACATTAAAAACTGGTTGACTACATTACACAACATATGCATATAAGAAATCCACACTTCTACTCTCTGAATATATAAAAAATTTTAATAATAATAATAATAGCTAGCGAAGTAGAATGAGATTGGATTAGTCTACTCAGGCTACCATAACAAAATACTACAAATAGGGTCACTTAAACAACAGACATTTATTTTCTCATGGCTCTGGAGGCTAGAAGTCCAAGATAAAGATGCCAGGGTTGGTTTCTTATAAGGCCCCTCTTTCTAGATTGTAAATGGCCACCTTTTCTCTATATCCTCACGTGGCCTTTCTTCTGTACTTGTGGAGAGGAAGTGGATGTCTCTTCTTCTTCTCATATGGACACCAGTTCTTTCTGATTAGGACCCCACTCATATTACCTTGTTTAGCTTTAATCTCCTTCTTAAAGTCCCTTTCCTCAAATACAGTTGCACTGGGGGTTATGTTTTCAAATATAAATTGTGGAGGGTAGAAGTCAGGCCATAATAGAGGTATATTGTTTAGTTAATAATATTGTTCTAATGTAGGTTTCCTGGTTTTGAAAATGAACCATGGCTTTGTAAGATGTTATCATTGAGGGAAGCTTGGTGAAGAATACTCTCTGTACAATTTCTGCAATTTTTGTGAGCCTAAAATTATGTCAAAATAAAATGTTTAAAACAAAAATCAAAACAAACAAAATAAAGAAAGCCGTATTATAAGAACTCCTGCAGTGTACAATAGTTTGTGTCTTAACTCTTTCTATAATTGTATGGAAATACCATGCAATAATGATATACATAATGGTATGAAGAGTTAAAACACAAACTCTCTTATACTGTAGGACCTCTTATAATACAGTTTTCTTAAAGGAACTAATTAAGGAAGCAACTTGACCCACAGAGAATGGAGGAAAGCAAGGCAGAATAAGGAACCAAAGCATGTCAGATTCTGAAACCACAACTTACTGGCTGTATCTGTAACCTTCATCAGTTTACCTAAGCTTTCTGAACGTCAGCGTCTGTATCTTTAAAATCATGGTATGAAGGGCAGAGAACTTTTCAGGCTATCAAAAAGCTCTGGATCTTTGTCCCATATTTTTGTCTTCCATTAACTTTAGGTGATTTTTGATGCATTATTTCCTCTCTTTCAGTAAAATAAGGATAATCTCTAACCTGCCCTTCCTCTCAAGGCTGTAGTGAGGATCTAGTAGGTAATACCAGGTATCTGGCTCATTGACATCTTAATCTTGCTTTTAGCATATTTTTCCCCAAGTAGCAAAAATAGAAGACAAGAGACAAGAGGGGGATGCATTAAGTAACATGTAGGAAGGAGAAGGGGGTAAAGCTGCATGCCAGATGTTTTTTGAGAAATGAAGAAAGTAAGCATTTGACAAGAATGTTCAGGAAGAAGATTAATCATCTTTTCAGTGTTCCGTGTCCAAAGTGACTGTGTCTGCTTATTTGGCTGGGTCTGATTTCAGAACTAAAGAAACCAGCTTTTTCATTAAGGCAGACTGAATGGGAAGGACACACTAGAGCTCCTTGAAGGTTGGCCACTAATAGAGGAAAGATAGAAACGACTGGAATGCCCTTAAAGCAAAAAGCAGCTGAGGAAAAAACTGTTAAAAGGGAGTATATAAACAGTTTGACCACAAACTACCAGGTTCCGACTTGCTGATAGGGGTGTAAAAATAACCTGTCAGCTTTGTTTTAAGTGCCAAACAGTGAGTGCTGAAGTGACACGATGACCAGTCAATAGGCACTGTCAGTGCCACTCCTCAAAACCTTTACACGGCTCTCCATTGCCTACCAGAAAAGGTAAAAATTACCTTGTGCTGAATGTGAGGCCCTCAGTAAGTTGGCCCAAACTTGTTTTCCAGCCTTCTTTTCCACTGTGTCTCAGATCCATGAAATCAGATTAATCTATTGACTGCCCCTTCAAAAACCACATTCGACTGAAAGTCAGGAGACCTAGATTCTAGTCCTTGCATTCTCATTAACTGCCCACATAACATTGGAAAAAATAATTTAACCTCTCTAAACCTTGCTTTCTTCCTCTGTTAAATCAGGATAGAAATCGCCACTCTGATGACATCATGCACTTTTTTGAGGAGTCCAACAACAGATACAAAAGCTCCTAGGAGATCCCAACAGGTTTTAAGCACCAAGTTTCTGTCAACCAAGGCTGTAGCATTCTCATCCATGAGGGCACTAAATCTCTCCTACTTATGAAAGAATCCATCTGGGACCAATTATTTCATTATCTGAGCTCTTTGCCTCTTTACCCAGATGTTCTAAGAGAGTGTGTTTACATTTCTTTTGACCCACCACCCAGACAGATTTAATCTCTACCTTCTTTTTCTATGTATCTTCCACAATATTTTATGGCTTCCACTAGCCACTGTATATTAATTACCTGTTCATGGGTCCGTCTACCCCTCTAGAGTATGGGATGCTCAATGTCAGAAAGTGTAACATATTGAATTTAATACACCCAACACACACTATGCAGTATGTCTCAACAAAGTTTACATTACTGGACTATTGAATTGAATCTCTTCAATATGATGAGACCCTATTTAAACTAATATGGAGATATAAGTGTTTATTATTATAACATCCATTATACTTAATTGATTTCAACAAATATTTGATTAGAACAAACTACACACAAGGCACAAAGCTAGGTACTAGTTATCCAGCTATAACTAAGACAGAGTTTGCCTTGAACACTGGCTCTCACTCCTGGCTGCACATTGAAATCACTTAGAAAAGCATTTCTTAAATACTAATGTCTAAGCCCCCACCCCAGGAATTATTGTTTAACTCATCTGGGATACAGGCTGACATTAAAATTTTTAGTGTTCAGCCTAGACTGAGAATCACTAGTCTTATGGTGGAAATAGGCATGACACAAGGAAATATAATGAGTATTTTGAAAGAGGAGGAATGCTACAGGAATTTATTATCTAGTCTTGGGAGTGTTGAATTCTATATCCAGCAAAAATATCCTTCCAGAAAGAAGTGGAAATGGAAACATCCTCAGGTGAAGAAAAATAAATAATTTGTCTTCAGTAGAGCTACCCTAAAAGAAGGGTGAAAAGAAGTTCTCTAAATAGAAAGAAAATGATGAGAAAAAGAAAGAAATCTTGGAGCCTTAAGAAAGAAAAAGAGACATCAAGAGGGTAAGCACTCTGTCTCCTCAGGAGTTTTTAAAATTACATTTGATGGTTGAAACATAATTGTAGCTCTCTCTGAGTGGTTCTCAATGTATGCAGAAAAAATATTTAAGACAGTTACAAACAAGGGAGGGTGACCCCAGGGTACTTATGCCATAAAAATAAGAATTTATTTCTACAAAAATACCTACACATGATTGTTCATATCAGCTTTATTCTTAATAGCTAAAAACCTAAAACTAACAAAATGTCCTGCACTAGGTAAAGTATTAGGCAAACAGTGGTGCTGTATGCATAACATAGAATAATCCATAACAATAAAAAACAACTACTGATAAATGCAGCAACTTGAATAGATCTGAAGGGCATTATGCTAAGTAAAAAGAGCCAATCCCAAAATGTCACATATAATATGATTCCACTTATATAACATCCTCAAAATGGCAAAACTATAGAGATACAGAACACAGATTAATAGTTTATGGAGTCAGAAATGGAGAATGGGAGAGGCGGCTGTGGTTATCAAAAGGTAACACAAAGACTATTTGTGGGGGTCAAGATGGCTGACTAGAAACAGTGGTGATCAGAGGCTCCTATCGAAAAGAACCATAATTACCATGTGAATACTTCACCAGCAACCAAGGCATCCGGGTTCTCTTATCAGAACTGACTAAGCAGGTGTCATGATCCATGGAGAGAAAGGAAGAGCAGTGTGGTGTGGCGGCCCACCTGAGAGCCACATGGTACAGGGGAGCCCCCACCCCCCAGCCAAAGGATACAGTGAATCAGTGTGCTACCCAGCTGGGGAAACAATGCTTTTTCCAAGGAAATGTGCAACCCATGGATTGGAAGATCTCATCACAACCTCACGTCACTGGGTCCCAGGGTCCCAACCCTGGAGCCATGGAGATTCTAAACAGCCTCTCAACTGGAACCTGCTTAAGCCTGCCAATCTCCCAGGGAGAGGGACAACCATCACCCTAGCTGCGGCTGCCTGCTGCATAAGCCGTCTGAGCTCCTTGGGTGAGGGGCAGCAGCCAGCACTGGGACTCATAACTACCTAACACACTAAGCTCCCTGGATGGGGGGGAAGGGGGCATCCATCTCTATAGCTCCAGGCCCTGCTTCTCCCATGCTGGAGCTAGGGAAGCTAGACGGCTTGGTCCCAAGAGGTATCCCCCACAAACCAACACACCAGCTGTGGCACACTCCAGCCAAAGCACATCTTCAAGCCTGACCCTGAACCATCCATCCTCACTGGGTGGGGCTTCCCTGCAGAAACCAATAACTCCAGTCAGAGGCTCAGGGAGAGAACCCAGATCTCCCTGGGCGTGAGCCTCTAGGGAGAGTGGTGGCCACAGTCTCTGCAGACCAGCAAACTTAGCCTTTCTTCGTGGTAGTTCTGAGGAATCCAGGGCAGCCCAGATGAGTGGACTTCCCCCCAGCCAACCACACACCCTCCACCAAGGGACAGTCAAAGTGTCTTGTTAAATGGGTCCTGCTCCCCATGCCACCCAACTTGGTGATATCCTCGAACAGGGGTTTTCAGACATTCTATACAGAGGTGATCCTACTGGCATAAGGTTGGTGCCTCTCAAGGTCAGAGATCCCACAAAAAGGAGCAGGAACCCACCTTTGCTGTTGTCCAGCCTTTTTGAGAGACATCTCCAAGCATGGGAGCAGACCAGATGAATAGGGCATGAAGTAAACCCCCAACAAATCACAGCAGCACAACAGAAGAGGTAAGTGACCATTGAAAGAAAAATAGACAAGAAAAGATCAACAGTGAGAGCATCAACAATAAAAAAGTCCCCACAAAAACCCCATTCAAGGGTCTGCAATCTCAAAGATTGGAACTAGACAAACTCACAAAGATGAGAAAGAATCAACAAAATAATGCTGAAAACCAAAAAGACCAGAGTGTCTCTTCTCCTCCAAATGGCCACAATGCCTCTCCAGCAAGGGTGCAGGACTGGAAAAAAGATGAGATGGATGAATTGACAGAAGAAGGCTTCAGGAGGTGGGTAATAAAAAACTCTACTGAGCTAAAGGAGCATGTTCTAACCCAATGCAAATAAGCTAAGAATCTTGATGAAAGGTTAGAGGAGCTGCTAACTAGAATAACCAGTTTAGAGAGGAACATAAATAATCTGATGGAGCTGAAAAACACAGCATGAGAAATTTATGAAGCATATGCAAATGTCAATAGCTGAATCAACCAAGCAAAAGAAAGAATATCAGAGTTTGAAGACCACCTTGCTGAAATAAGTCATGCAGACAAGATTAGAGAAAAAAGAATGAAAAGGGACGATCTAAGCCTCCAAGAAATATGGGACATAATAAAAAGACTGAAACTATGATTGACTGGAAATGATTGAAGGAGATGGGGAGAATGGAAACAAGCTGGAAAACACACTTCAGGATATTATCCAGGAGAACTTCCCCAACCTAACAAGGCAGGCCAACGTGCAAATTCAAGAAATACAGAGAACACCATTAGATACTCCACGAGAAGATCAACCACAAGACACATAATCATCAGACTGTCCAAGGTTTAAATGAAGGAAACAATATTAAGGGCAACCAGAGAGAAAGGCCGGGTAACCTACAAAGCAAAGCCCATCAGACTAACAGCAGACCTCTCAGCAGAAAATCTACAAGCCAGAAGAGACTGGGGGCCAATATTAAACATTCTTAAATAAAATAATTTTCAACCCAGAATTTCATATTCAGCCAATGTAAGCCTCATAAGCAAAGGAGAAATAAAATCCTTTCCAGACAAGCAAATGCTGAGGGATTTTGTTACTACCAAACCTGCTTTGCTGAAAGAAGCACTAAATATGGAAAGGAAAAATCAGTACCAGCCACTGCAAAAAAAAACACCAAAATATAAGGACCAATGACACTATGAAGAAACTGCATCAACTAGTGTGCAAAATAACCAGATGGCATCATGATGACAGAATCAAATTTACACATAAAAATGCTAAGCTTAAATGCAAATGGATTAAATGCCCCAATTAAAAGACAGAGACTGGCAAATTGGATAAAGAGTCAAGACCAATCGATGTGCTGTGTTCAGAAGACCCATCTCATGTGCAAAGACACACATAGGCTCAAAATAAAGGGAAGGAGGAAAATTTACCAAGCAAATGGAAAGCAAAAAAACAGCAGAGGTTGCAATCCTAGTCTCTGACAAAACAGACTTTAAACCAACAAAGATCAAAAAAGACAAAAAAGGGCTTACATAATGGTAAAGGGCACAATTCAGCAAAAAGAGCTAACTATCCTAAATATATATATATGCACCCATACAGGAGCACCCAGATTCACAAAACAAGCTTTTAGAGATCTACAAAGAGACTTAGACTCCCACACAATAATAGTGGGAGAGTTTAACACCCCACTGTCAATATTAGACAGCTCAATGAGACAGAAAGTAAACAAGGATATTCAGAACTTGAACTCAGCTCTGGATAAAGTGGACCTAATATACATCTACAGAACCCTCTACCCCAAATGAACAAAAAATACATTCTTCTCAGTGACACATGGTACTTATTCTAAAATCAGGAGAGTGATCATGGCAGATGGGAGGCAGAACTAGATTGTGGCTCCAGACAGAGCAGCATGTGGCGGCTTGCACCGAGAATTTTAGCTCTAGATTGACTGCAAGAACAAACCAACAATCTTGAGAGGACCAACAGACCCTCTGAAGGAAGCAGATTGCTCCTGCAGGACCTGGGAGACACCTGAAATACTGTGTGTGCCCCAACTACGGAACTGGGAAAGGGAGACCCTCCTGTCTTGAATACACACCCCCAGTGGAGAAGCTGAAGATCTGTTTGCAGGAGAAGTTTCTGACTTTACCTGGAGCTCGGTCAAGTTAGAGAACCAAGCAAAATACAAGAGTAGAGGAAGCAGCAGAAAGGCCCTGGGAGCTCGCTGCGTCTCCAAGCAGGCCATTCCTGCCTGGCACCACAAGGATCCATCGGGTGGGTGACCAGAGAAGCAAGGGGTAAAACTCCACAGGGAGAAGGAATTCTCTAGCTGAACTTTGTAAAAAATTGAATACGGTGAGAAGCCTCCCGCCAGCACTCACAGGAGGGCGCAAATTAGGTGTGAAAACTTCACAGGTCAGGGAAGAACTAAAGCCCTTTTTTTTTCACAGCTGGGCAGCAGATAGCCTCAGGCAAGTTTTCAAGCCTGTCTCACCCTCCGTCTGGACACAGACTCAGGGCTGCTGTGGGGAGCACTGCGGGAGTGAGACTGGCCCTTCGGTTTGTGGTTTGTGAAGAAGCTGGGTGAGGACAGTGACTGCCAGCTTTTCCCCACTTTCCTGACAACCTGTATGACAGCAGATGAGCCGTAATCCTCCTAAGTACACGGGAATAACACCCCTATCCCCCACAGCATCAACAAGACACGCCCAAGGAGAGTCTAAGCTCAGACACGCCTAGCCCCACTAGCACCTGATGGTCCTTCCCTATCCACCCAGGTAGTGAAAGACAAAGGGTATATAATCTTTGAAGTTTTAGAGCCAAGTCCACCACCGGTTCCTCTCCAACTACTATAGCTGATGCATTCTGGAAATTGCCACCTCCTGACAAGAGACCAACCAGCACAAAAATAGAACATTAAACCACCAAAGCTAAGGGTCCTCATGGAATCCACTGAACCCTCTGCCACCTCCACCAGAAAACGTGCTGGTATTTATGGCTGAGAGATCCAGAGACAGTTCACATCACAGGACTCTGTGCAGACAACCCCCAGTACCAGCCCAGAGCTGGGTAGACTCACGGGGTGGCTAGACCCAGAAGAGAGACAATAACTGCAGTTCAGCTCACAGAAAGTCACACCTATGGGAAATAAAAAAAGGAGAGTATTACATCAAGGGACCCCATGGGACAAAAGAATTTGAACACACAACCTTCAGCCCTAGACCTTCCCTCTGACAGAGCCTACCCAAGTAAGAACAGAAAACCAACCCTAGTAATATGACAAATAAAGGCTAATCAACACCCCCCAAAAATCACACTAGTTTACCAGCAATTGATCCAAGCCAAGAAGAAATCCCTGATTTACCTGAAAAAGAACTCAGGAGGTTAGTTATTAAGCTAATCAGGGAGGGGCTGGCAAAAGGCAAAGCCCAATGCAAGGAAATCCAAAACAAGATACAAGAAATGAAAGGAGAAATATTTATGGAAATAGATAGCTTAAATAAAAAAGTCAAAATTACAGGAAACTTTGGAAATACTTTTAGGAATGTGAAATGCTCTGGAAAGTCTCAGCAATAGAATTGAACAAGTAGAAGAAATAAATTCAGAGCTCAAAGACAAAATCTTCAAATTAACCCAATCCAACAAAGACAAAGAAAATATGAACTAAGCCTCCAAGAAGTCTGGGATTATGTTAAACAACCAAACCTAAGAATAATCAGTGTACCTGAGGAAGAAGAGAATTCTAAAAACTTGGAAAACATATTTTGAGGACTAATTGAGGAAAAATTCACTGGCCTTGCAAGAGACCTAGACATCCAAATACAAGAGGGACAACGAATATCTGAGAAATTCATCACAAAGAGATATTTGCTTAGGCACATTGTCATCTCATGCTATCTAAAGTTAAGATGGAGGAAATAATCTTAAAACTGTAAGACAGAAGCACCAGGTAACCTATAAAGGAAAATCAGATTTACAGCAGATTTCCTAGCAAAAACCCTACCAGCTACAAGGGATTGGGGCCCTATCTTCAGCCTCCTGAAACAAAACAACTATCAACCAAGAAGTTTGTATCCAGGGAAACTAAGCATCATATATGAAGGAAAGATACAGTTATTTTCAGACAAACAAATGCTAAGAGAATTTGCCATTACCAAGCTACCACTACAAGAACTGCTAAAAGGAGCTCTAAATATTAAAACAAATCTTGGAAGCACATCAAAACAGAACCTCTTTAAAGTATAAATCACACAAGACCCATAAAATAAAAGTACAAGTTAAAAAGCAAAAACAAAAAAAGAAAAAACAAAATATGCAGGCAACAAAGAGCAGGATTAAAGCAACAGTACCTCACATTTTAATATCAACATTAAATGTAAATGGCCTAAATGTTCCACTTAAAAGATACAGAACCACAGAAGGGATAAGAACTCACCAATCAACTATCTGTTGCTTTCAGGAAATTTACCTAACACATAAAGATGCACATATACTTAAGGTAAAGGGGTGGAAAAAGGCATTTCAGGCAAATGGACACCAAAGAGACCAGGGATAGCTATTCTTATATCAGACAAAACAAACTTTAAGCAACAGCAGTTAAAAGAGACAAAAAGGAACCGTATATAATGGTAAAAGACCTTGTCCAACAAGAAAATATCACAATCCTAAACATATTTGCACCTAACACTGGAGCTCCCGAATTTGTAAAACCATTACTAACAGACTGAAGAAAAAAGATAGGAAGCAACACAATAATACTGGGGGAATTCAGTACTCTACTGACAGCTCTAGACAGGTCATCAGGACAGAAAGTCAACAAAGAAACAACGGATTTAAACCTTATCTTCAAACAAATTGACTTAACAGACATATACAGAACATTTCATCCAACAACCACAGAATGCATATTCTATTCAACAGTGCATGGATATTTCTCCAAGATAGACCGTAAGATAGGCCATAAAATGAGGCTCAAAGAATTTACGAAAATTGTAATTATATCAAGCACTCTCTCAGACCATAGTGAAATAAAACTGAAAATCAACCCCAAAAGGAATCTCCAAAACTATCCAAATACATGGAAATTAAATAACCTGCTCCTGAATGAGCATTGGGTCAAAAACAAAATCAAGATGAAAATTTAAAAATTCCTTGAACTGAATGACAATAATGACACAACCTATAAAAACCTCTGGGATACAGCAAAGGTGGTGCTAAAAGGAAAGTTTATAGCCCTAAATGCCGACATCAAAAAGTCCGAAAGAGCACAAAAACAAATATAAGGTCACACCACAAGGAACAAGAGAAACAATAACAAACTGAAACCAAACCCAGCAGAAGAAAGGAAAAAACCAAGATCAAGGCAGAACTAAATGAAATTGAAACAAGAAAACAATACAAAAAAAAAAAAAGACTCCGGAAAAAAAAAAAAAAAAAGATAAATAGCTGGGACCTAAATAAACTAAAGAGCTTTTGCTCAGAAAAAGGAACAGTCAGGAGGATAAAGAGACCAACCCACACAGTGGGAGAAAATCTTCACAATCTATAAATCTCACAAAGAATTAATATCCAGAATCTACAGTGAACTCAAACAAATCAGTAAGAAAAAAACAAACAATCCCATCAAAAAGTGGGCTAAGGCCATGAGTAGAAAATTCTCAAAAGAAGATATACAAATGGCCAACAAACATATGAATAAATGTTCAACATCACTAATGATCAGGGAAATGCAAATCAAAACCACAATGCAATACCGCCTTACTCCTGCAAGAATGGCCATAATCAAAAAACAGTAGATGTTACCATGAATGCGGTAATCAGGTAACACTTCTACACTGCTGGTGGGAATGTAGTCTAGTACAACCTCTATGGAAAACAGTGTGGAGATTGCTTTAAAAACTAATAGTAGAACTACCATTTGATCGAGCAATTCTGCTACTGGGTATCTACCCAGAGGAAAAGAAGTTATTGTTCAAAAAAGATTCTTGCACACACATGTTTATAGCAGCACAATTCACAATTGTAGAATCGTGGAACCAACTCAAATGCCCATCAGTCAATGAGAAGATAAAGAAACTGTGGTGTATATGTATATATATATATATATATATGATGGAATAACACTCAGCCATAAAAGGGAATGAATTCACAGCATTTTCAGTGACTTGAATGAGATTGGAGACTATTAGTCTAAGTGATGTAACTCAGGAATGGAAAACCAAACATCATATGTTCTCACTGATATGTGGGAGCTAAGTTATAAGGACACAAAGGCATAAAAATGATACAATGGACTTTGGGGACTTGAGGGTAAGAGTGGGAGTGGGACGAGAGATAAAAAACTGCAAATATGGTGCAGTGTATACTGCTCAGGTAATGGGTGCACCAAAATCTCACAAATCACCACTGAAGAACTTACTCATGTAACCAAATACCACTTGTAACTCAATAACTTATGGAAAAATAAAATAAATAAATAAAAATGAAAATGAAAAAAATTTAAAAAGAAAAGTAAATTGGAAATAAAATAAAATAAACCACAAAATTGAAAGTAAAACACTCTTCAGCAAATGGAAAAGAACTGAAATCATAACAAACAGTCTCTCAGAGCACAGTGCAATCAATTAGATCTCAGGATTAAAAAACTCGCTCAAAACCACACAACTACATGGAAATTGAACAATCTGTTTTTGAGTGACTCCTGGGTAAATAATGAAATTAAGGCAGCCATCAAGAAGTTCTTTGAAACCAGTAAAACAAAGAGACAATGTACCAGAATCTCTGGGACACAGATAAAGCAGTGTTAACAGGGAAATTTATAGCATTAAAATGCCCACATTAGAAAGCTAGAAAGATCTCAAATTGACATCCTAACATCACAGTTAAAACAGCTAGAGATGCAAAAGCAAACTAATCTAAAAGCTAGCAGAAGGCAAGAAATAACTAAGATCAGAAAAGAATTGAAGGAAATAGAGACATGAAAAACCCTCCAAAATATCAATGAATCCAGGAGCTGGCTTTTTGAAGAAACTAACAAAATAGATAGACTACTAGCTAGAGTAATAAAGAAGAAGAGAGAGAAGATCAAATAGACATAATAAAAAATTATAAAGGGGATATTATCACTGACTCCACAGAAATACAAACTACCATTAGAGAATACTATGTAGAGGTCTATGCAAATTAACTAGAAAGTCTACAATAAATGGATAAATTCCTGGACACATACACCCTACCAAGACTAAACCAGGAAGAAGTGGAAACGGTGAATAGACAAAAAACAATTCTCAAATTGAGCCAGTAATTATTAGCCTACTAATCAAAAAAAGCCCAGGACACACAGATTCACAGCTGAATTCTACCAGAGGTACAAAGAGGAGTTGGTACGATTCTGTCTAAAACTATTCCAAACAACTGAAAAGGAAGGACTCTTCCCTAACTCATTTTATGATGCCAGCATTATCCTGATACCAAAACCGAGCAGAGACAAAAAAAAAAAAAAAAAAAAAAAAAAAACCAAAAACTTAAAATCAATATCTCTGATGAACATTGATTCAAAAATCCTCAAACAAATACTGGCAAAGTGAACGCAGCACCACATCAAATAACTTATCCATGATGATCAAGTTGGCTTCATCCCCAGGATGCATGGCTGGTTCAACATACACAAATCAATAAACATAATCCATCAGATAAACAGAACCAATGACAAATAAAACATGATTATCTCAATAAATGCAGAAGCAGACCCTTATAAGATTCAACATCTTTTCATGTTTAAAAGTCTCAATAAACTAAGTATTGATGGAACATATCTCAAAATTATAAGAGCTATTTATGACAAACCCACAGCCAATATCACATTGAATGGGTAAAAGCTGGAACCATTCCCTTTGAAAACCAGTACAAGAAAAGGATGCCCTCTCATCACTTCTATTTAACAGAGTATTGGAAATTCTGGCCAGAGCAATCAGGCAAGAGAAAGAAATAAAGGGTATTCAAATAGGAAGACAGGAAGTCAAGCTGTCTCTGTTTGCAGATGACATAATTTTATATTTAGAAAACTGTTGGAAACAAGCCCCCCAAAATCTGGCCATAAACTGGCCCCAAAACTGGCCACAAACAAAATCTCTGCAGCATTGTGACATGTTCATGATGGCCATAGTGCCCATGCTGGAAGGTTGTGTGTTTACTAGAATGAGGACAAGGAACACCTGGCCTGCCCAGGGCAGAAAACCTCTTAAAGGCATTCTTAAGCCACAAACAATATCATGAGTGATCTGTGCCTTAAGGACATGCTCCTGCTGCAGTTAACTAGCCCAACTAGTTAATTTGGCCCACCCCTTCGTTTTCCATAAGGGATACTTTTAGTTTATTTAATATCTATAGAAACAATGCTAATGACTGGCTTGCTGTTAATAAATACATGGGTAAATCTCGGCTCGGGGCTCTCAGCTCTGAAGGCTGTGAGACCCCTGATTTCCCACTTCACACCTCTATATTTCTGTGTGTGTCTTTAATTCCTCTAGCACTGCTGGGTTAGGGTCTCCCTGACTGAGCTGGTCTCAGCAGAAAACCCCATCATCTCAGCCCAGAAACTTCTTGAACTATAAGCAACTTCAGCAAAGTCTCAGGATACAAAATCAATGTGCAAAAATCACAAGCATTTGTTACACCAACAATAGGCAAGCAGAGAGCCAAATCATGAATGATCTCCCATTCACAATTGCTACAAAGAGAATAAAAAACCTAGGAATACAACTAACAAAGGATGTAAAGAACCTCTTCAAGGAGAACTACAAACCACTGCTCAAGGAAATAAGAGAGATCACAAGCAAATGGAAAAACATTCCATGCTCATGGATAGGAAGAAGCAATATCGTGAAAAAGGCCATACAGCCCAAAATAATTCATAGATCTGGTGCTATTCCCATCAAACTACCATTGACACTCTTCACAGAATTAGAAAAATCTTCTTTAAATTTTATATGGAATCTTAGGTGACCCCATAGAGCAAAGACAATCCTAAGCAAAAAGAACAAAGCTGGAGGCATCATGCTACCTGACTTCAAACTATACTACAAGGCTACAGTAACCAAAACAGCATGGTACTGGTACCAAAACAGACATACAAACCAATTGAACAGAACAGAGACCTCAGAAGTAACACCACACATTTACAACCATCTGATCTTTGACAAACCTGGCAAAAACAAGCAATGGGGAAAGGATCTTCTATTAAATTAGTGGTGCTGGGAACACTGGCTAGCCATATGCAGAAAACAGAAACTGGACCTTTTCCTTACACCTTATACAAAAATTAACTCAAGATGGATTAAAGACTTAAACGTAAAACCCAAAACCATAAAAACTATAGAAGAAAATTTAGGCAATACCATTCTGGACATAGGCATGGGCAAAGACTTCCTGATGAAAATGCCAAAAGCAATTGCAACAAAAGCCAAAATCGACAAATGGTATCTTGTTAAACTAAAGAGCTTCTACACAGCAAAAGAAACTGTCATCAGAGTGAACAGGCAACTTACAGAATGGGAGAAAAATTTTGCAATCTACCCATCTGACGAAGGGCTAATATCCAGAATTTACGAGGAACATTAACAAATTTACAAGGAAACAAACAAACAACACCATCAAAAAAGGGGCAAAGAATATGAACAGACACTTAGCAAAAGAAGAACTTTTTGCAGCCAACAAATATATGACAAAAGCTCAACATCACTGCTCATTAGAGGAAGGCAAATCAAAACCACACTTTTCAAAAGAAGACATTTACATGGTCAACAAACATATGAATAAAAGCTCAACAGCACTGATCATCAGAGAAATGCAAATAAATACCACAATGAGATACCATCTCATGCCAGTCAGAATGGCAATTATTAAAAATCAAGAAACAATAGATGCTGGTGAGGCTGTGGAAAAATAGGAATGCTTTTACACTGTTGGTAAAAATGTGAAGTAGTTCAACCATTGTGGAAGACAGAATGGCAATCCCTCAAGGATGTAGAACCAGAAATACCATTTGACCCAGCAATCCCATTACTGGGTATATACCCAAAGGAATATAAATCATTCTACCATAAAGTCACATACATACATATGTTTATTACAGCACTATTTGCAATAGCAAAGACATGGAACCAACCCAAATGTCCATCAATGATAGACTGGATAAAGAAAATGTGGTACATATACACCATGGAATACTATGCAGCCATAAAAAAGAATGATATCATGTCTTTTACAGGGACATGGATGAAGCTGGGAGGCATCATCCTCAGCAAACTAGCACAGGAACAGAAAACCAACCACCACATGTTCTCACTCATAAGTGGGAGTTGAACAATGAGAACACATGGGTACAGAAAGGGAAACAACTCATACCTGGGCCTGTTGGGGGGTAAGAGGCAAGGGGAGAAATCTTAGAGTATGGGTCAATAGGTGCAGCAAACCAACATGGCACACGTATACTTATGTAACAAACTGCATGTCCTGCACATGTGTCCCTGAACTTAAAGTAAAATAAATACTTTTAAAAGAATATTTGTGATGGAAATATTCTCTATCTTGATAGCAGTGGTGGCTGTATCCATCTACATTTGTGATAAAAAAGATATGGGACGAAACACACATATTGAACTAATGTCAATTTTCTACTTTTGATATTGTATTATAAATAAGATGTAATCATTGCAGAAAATTAAATGGAGGGTACAAGAGATCCTTCTACACTATTGTTGTAACGTCTTGTAAATCTATACCTGTTTCAAAATAAAAAGTTAGGTGTCACTCTAAAATCACTGTAACTACAATAATTTATTATTGGATAAACAATATTTGAAATAAAAGATTTTGTAACATCAATGAGCTAAAATTTGAAATTGCAGAAGAAGTAAAACTATAAAGTGTTTGTATGTGATCAAATATAGTTGTATCATCTTAAAATAGGATATCATAAATATAAGATATTTTATGTAAGTCTCATGGTAAAGACAAAGGAAAAACCTTTGTTTTACCATAGTAGTTAAACAAAAGATTAATACAAGACATCAAAGCACACCGCAACAGATATCAAATCAAAAAGAAGACAATAAGAAAAGAAGAAAGGAACAGAAAAACTACAAGAGTCAGAGGACAATAAAAAATGACAATAGTAAGTCCTCACCTGTCTATATAACTTTGTATATAAGTGGTTTAAATCCTCTAATTAGAAGACATACAGTGCTGAATATATTTGTGAAAAAAAAGAGCTAACTATATACTGCCTACAAGAGACTTTACCTTTAACAACACACATAGGCAGAAAGTGAAGGAATAGAAAAAGACACCTCAGGAAAATGATAACCCAAAGAGAACAGGAGTGGCTATACTTATACAAGAAAATATAGACTCTAAGTCAAAAGCTCTCACACGTGCCAAGAAGGTTATTATATCTTGATAAAGAAGTCATTTTATCAAAAAGACATACATAGCAGATGCTTAAAAAGGGAAGAGATGGAACAAGTTGATGGAATAGAAGGCTCTACTGATTGTCCCCTGTCAAGGACACCAATTTAACAACTATTTACACAAAAAAGCACCTTCATAAAAAACAAAAACAGGTTAGCATTCACATTATTTAGTGTTAATTTCTTATCACAGAAAGAGGCACAGAAGAGGAACAAAAAAAATCTTAAATCACTGACGCCACCCCTGCTCCATCACGTGACAGTGGCAGAATGCTACAGAGTGCAGCTGCTGTGCACTGGTGGAGGGGGAGCACAGCAATTGTAAGGCATTGAACTCAGTGCTATCCTATAATAACAGAAAGCAAAACCCGACCAAACTCAGCTGATGCTCACCCATGAAGAAAGCATTTAAACCAACCCTAGCCAAAGAGAAGCCAATTCCATGGTTGGAAGTTGACTTTCTGCAAGCTTTGCCACAGCAAGCAAAAGTGCTCTTGGCCTCTAAATAAACCTGAAAAGAATTCTAGACCACATGGGCTGCAACTCCTAGATGAGGCTTAGTGCTGAACTGGGCCCAAAGACAATGAACTTTGTGAGTGGAGGGTGGTACACGACATACTGAGAAACTAGCCGAGGCAGCTGAGGGAGTGCTGTCATCACCCCTCCCCTAACCCCAGGCTGCACAGCTTATGGCTGCAAAACAGACCCTGTCTTTCCACTTGAGAAGGAGAGAAAAAACAATGGAGAGGACTTTGTCTTGCATTTTAGACACCAGCTCAGCCACACCAGAATGGGGCATGGCTTAGACTCATGAGGCCCCATTTCCAGTCCTAGATCCTAGAAAAGATTTCTAGACACTCCCTAGGCCAGAAGGAGAACTGCTGCCTTGAAAGGAAGAACACAGTCCTGGCAGCATTCATCACCTGCTAACTGAAGAGCCCTTCAGCCCTGAATAATCAGCCGCGATACCCAGGTACTACATTGAGGGCCTTAGATAAGACCCTAAGACATGCTGACTTCAGGTGAGAGTCAGCACTTTACCAGCTGTGGTAATTATGAGGCAAGACTCCTTCTGTTTGAGAAAATTAGGAGAAAATAAAGAGGACTTTGTCTTGTACCTTAGGTACCAGCTCAGCCAGAGGGGTAGAGCAAGAAGTGGGCTCTTGGGGTCTCTGACTCCAGGACTTGGCACTTAGATAGCATTCCTGGACCTGTCCTCGGACAGAGTGGAGCCCATTGCCCTGAAAGGTGAGTCCCAGGCCAGGAAGCACTCACACGATCTGACTAAAGGGTCCTTGGGTTTTAAGGGAACACTGCAGTAGTCCGGCAGTATTTCCTGTGGGTCTGTGGTGCCAGGGGCAATGGGATGGGTTGCTATGCCTTTAAAAAGAGGAGGGAATAGTGGGAAGGACAGTATCTTGTGGTTTAAGTGCCAGCTCAGCTGCAATATATTAGAATGCCAGGTAAATTTCTAAGGTTTTTTTAATTTAGTCCATTGATACCAGAAGGCACCCCTGAACACCTCTGAGGCCTGTGGAAACTCACATCTCTGAAAAGAAGGGCATAGACCTGGATGGCTTTGCTACCTGCTGATTGTAGAGTGCCAGGTCCTTGCATAAGCATAGACATCAGCCTGGGAATGGGTACAGCAAGCCATGGTCAAGACCCAGTGCTGTGCTGGCTTAAGGTCTGACCCAGTGCAATCATAGTGATGATGGACACAGTGGTGCTTGTATGACTCCAGCCCCATCTTCAGGTAGCCCAGAACAGAGAAAAATACTCCATTTGTTTTGCAGAAAGGAGAGAAAGAGAACAAAAATCTCTACCTGGAAATCCAGAAAATTCTTAATCTTCTCCAAGACCATCAAGGTGGTACTTCTATGAGTGTGCAAGAAACATAGCATTATTGGGCTTGGGGTGCCCCTAAAGCCAATAGCTTAGATCACAACACCCAAGTCCTTTTGAATATCTGGAAATGCTTCAGAAGGACAGCAGTACAAAAAAGCCCACACTGCAAAGACTATCATAAATAACGCACTCTTCAATGCCCAGACACAGACAAACATTTACAAGTATGAAGACAATCAAGAAAAATATAATCTCACTAAATGAACTAAGTAAGGCACCAGGACCCTTTCCTTACACTATATACAAAAATTAACTCAAGATGGATTAAACACTTAAATGTAAATCTCAAAAATATAAAAACCCTAGAAGAAAAACTAGGCAGTACCACTCAGGACATAAGCAATGGCAAAGATTTTATGACAAAATGCCAAAAGCGAATGCAACAAAAGCAAGAATTGACAAATGAGATCCAATTAAAATAAAGAGCTTCTGCACAGCAAAAAAAAAAAAGTCATTATTCTTAGAGTTAACAGATAACCTACAGAATGGGAGAAAAATTTTGCAATGTATCCACCTGACAGAAATCTAATATGCAGGGTCTAGAAAGAATTTAAGCAAATTTACAAGGAAAAAAACATTAAAAAGTGGGCAAAGGACATGAACAGACACTTCTCAAAAGAAGACACACATGAGGCCAAGAATCATATGGAAAAAAACTCAACATCACTGATCATTAGAGAAATGAAAATCAAAACCTCAATGAGATACGATCTTGTAGCAGTCAGAATGGTGATTATTGAAAAGTCAAAAATAACAGATGCTGGCAAGGTGGCAGAGAAAAAGGAACACTTCTACACTGTTAATGGAAGTGTAAATTAGTTTAACCATTATGGAAGACAGTGTGGCAATTCCTCAAAGACCTAGAACCAGAAATACCACCTGACCCAGCAATCCCATTACTGGGTATGTACCAAAAGGAATAGGAATCATTCTACTATAAAAATACATGCATGCATATGTTTATTGCAGCACTATTCACAAGAGCAAAGACATGGAATCAACCGAAATGCCCATCAGTGATAGGCTGGATAAAGAAAATGTGGTACAAATACACCATAGAATACTATGCAGCCATAAAAAAGAATAAGATTACGTCCTTTGCAGGGACATGGATGGAGTTGGGAGCCATTATTCTCAGCAAACTAATGCAGAAACAACAAAACACAACATATTCTCATTTACAAATGAGAGCTATATCATGAGAACACATGGACACATGGGTGGAACAACACACACCGAGGCCTGTTGCAGGAGTTGGGGAAAGAAAAACACATGGACATATAAGAAGGAGCAACACACACTGGGGACTGACAGGAGGTAGGGGGAGGGAGAGCATCAGGAGGAATAGCTAATGGATGCTGAGCTTAACACCTAGGTTTTGGGATGATCTGTGCAGCAAACCATCATGGCATGTTTAGCTATGTAACAAACATGCACATTCTGCACATGTACCCCTGAAGTTAAAATAAAAGTTGAAGAAAAAAATAAATTATATATATATATATATAGCACTAGGGACAAATCCTAGAGAAATAGAGATGTGTGACCTCTCAGATAGAGAATTCAAACAAACCGTTTTGAGGAAACTCAAAGAAATTCAAGAAAACAATGAGAAAGAATTCAGAATTATATCAAATGAATTTCACAAAGAGATTGAAATGATAAAAAAATCAATCAGAAACTCTGGAGCTAAAGAATACAATTGGAATACTAAAGAATTGAACAGTCTTTCTTTTTTTTTTTTTTTGATATGAAGTCTCGCTTTGCCCCCCAGACTGGAGTGCAATGGCATGATCTTGGCTTACTGCAGCCTCCGCCTGCCGGGTTCAAGCAATTCTCCTGCCTCAGCCTCCCAAGTAGCTGGGATTACAGGTGCTCACCACCACACGTGGTTAATTTTTGTATTTTTAGTACAGATGGGGTTCCACCATGTTGGCCAAACTGGTCTCAAACTCCTGACCTCAGGTGATCTGCTCTCCTTGGCATCCCAAAGTGCTGAGATTACAGGCATGAGCCACCAAGCCTGGCCTTGAACAGAGTCTTTTAGTAGCAGAATTAATCAAGCAAAAGAAAGAATCAGTGAGCTTGAAGCCAGGTGATCCGAAAATACACAGTGAGAGAAAATGAAAGAAAATAAAACAATGAAGCACACCTACAGGATCTGGAAAATATCCTCAAAAGGGCAAATTTAAGAGCTATTTGGCTTAAAGAGGAGGTAGAGATGAAGATAGGAGTAGAAAGTTTATCCAAAGGAATAATAACAGAGAACTTCCCAAACATAGAGAAAGATATCAATATCCAAGTACAAGAAGATTATAGACCACCAAGCAGATTTAACCCAAAGAAAACTACCTTAAGTCACTTAATAATCAAACTCCCAAAGGTCAAGGATAAAGAAAGGATCCTAAAAACAGCTATAGATAAAAAATAAAATAACATAAAATGGAACTCCAATACATCTGGCAGCAGACATTTTAGTGGAAAACTCACAAGCATAGAGAGAGTGGCATGGCATATGTAAAGTACTGAAGGAAAAAAAGCTTACCTACCTTTAATAGTATATCTGGCAAAAGTATACATCAAACATGAATAAGAAATAAAGTATTTCCCAGAAAAACAAAAGTTGAAGGATTTCATCTACACCAGTCCTATCCTAAAAGAAATGCTAAAGGGAGTACTTCAATCAGGAAAGGACATTAATGAGCACTAAGTAATCACTTGAGTGTAAAAAACTCACAGGTAATAGTAAGTACACACAAAAACAAAAAATATTATAACACTGTAACTGTGGTGTGTAACCTACTCTTATCCTAAATAGAAAGGCTAAATGAGAAACCAATCAAAAAGAAAACATAACTACAACTTTTTTGGACATAGTACAATAAGATATAAATAGAAACAACAGCTGGGTGCAGTGGCTCATGCCTGTAATCCTAGCACTTTGGGAGGCCAAGGCAGGCAGATCATGAGGTCAGAAGTTCAAGACCAGCCTGGCCAACATGGTGAAACCCCGTATCTACTAAAAATACAAAAAGTAGCCAAGAGCGGTGGCACATGCCTGTTATCCCAGCTACTCAGGAGGCTAAGGCAGGAGAATAGCTTGAACCTGGGAAGTGGAGGTTGCAGTGAGCTGAGATCACACCACTGCACTCAAGCCTGGGACAGAGCTTGACTCTGTCACAAAAAAAAAGGAAAGAAAGAAAAAAAAAGAAACAACAAAAAGTTTAAAAGAAGGACGGCAAAGTTAAGGCATAGAGTTTTTATTGTTTTGGTCTTTCTTACTTGTTTATGGAAAGTGTTAAGTTGTTATCAGTTTAAAATAATGGATTATAAGTATTTGCAAGTTTTATGGTAACTCAAGACAAAAAACATAGAACAGATACACAAAAAATAAAAGTCAAAAACAAAAACTAAATCATATCACCAAAGAAAATTATCTTTAATAAAAGGAAGACATGAAGGAAAGAAGGAAGAGAAGGCCACAAAAGAGCAAGAAAACAAATAACAAAACAGCAGGAGTATGTCCTCACTTATCAATAATAACATTGATTGTAAATTGACTAAACTCTCCAATAAAAGGACATAAACTGGCTGAATTGATTAAAGAAAAAAGACCCATTGATATGTTGCCAACAAGAAACACACTTCACCTATTAAGACACATATAGACTAAAGATAAAAGGATTGAAAATGATAGCCCATGCCAATGGAAACTAGAAAGGAGTAGGAGCAGCCACACTAACATAAGAAAAAATAGATTTCAAGACAAAAACTATAAGAAGAAACAAAGAAAGTCACTATATAATGATAATAAGGTCAATTCACCAAGAGGATATAACAACTTTAAATATATATGCACCCAACATATATCAACTTATATATGTGGAGTACCCAGATATATACAGTTAATATTATTAGAGGTAAAGAGAGAGATAGAACTTAATATAATAATAGCTGAGAATTCAACACCCCACCTTCAGCATTGGAAAGATTATCCAGACAGAAAGTCAACAAAGAAACATCAGAAACATTAACGTGCACTAGAGACCAAACGAATTTATTATTTAGAGAACATTTTATTCAATGACTACAGAACACACATTCTTTACCTCAGCACATGGATAATTCTCAAAAATAGACTGTATACTAGGTCACAAAAGAAGTCTTAAAACATTCACAAAATGGAAATAATACCAAGCATCCTCTCAGACCACAGTGGAATAAAACTAGAAATCCATGACAAAAAGAATTTTGGAAACTATGCCAATATATGGAAATAGAACAATATGCTCCTGAATATCCAGTGAGTCAGTGAAGAAATTAAGAAGGAATTTGAAAAATTTATTGAAACAAAAGATAATGAAAGTACAACATCCCAAAACATATGGAATACAGAAAAAAACAATAGTAAGAGGGAAGTTTATAGTTATAAGTGCTGAAAACTGACCAGGCACGGTGTCTCATGCCCATAATCTCAACACCTTGGGAGGCTGAGACAACCTGATTGCTTGAGCACAGAAGTGCAAGACCAACCTGTACAACATGGCAAAACTCTGTCTCTACCAAAAATACAAAATAATAATAATAATAATAATAATAAGATAAAACTTAGCTGGGCATGGTGGTGTGTACCTGTGCTCTTAAATACTCAGGAGGCTGAGGTGGGAAGGTATCTTGAGGCTGGGAGGTGAAGGTAGCAGTGAGGCAAGATCATACCACTGCACTAAAGCCCAGGTGAAAGAGTGAGAGCCCATCTCCAAAAAATAAAAATTAAAAATAAAAAGAATAAAAACTTCAAATGAACAACTTAATGATACACCATAAGGAAATAGAAATGCAAGAGCAAAGGAAACCCCAAATTAGTAAAGAAAAAGAGATAAAATAAAGATCAGAGCAGAAATAAATAAAATTTGAAATAAAGAATATTATGCAAAACGTTATTGAAACAAAAAGTCAGTATTTAGGAAAGTTAAACATAATTGACAAACCTTTAACCAGACTAAGAAAGAGAGAAGATCCAAATAAAGAAAATCAGTGATAAAAAGGAGATATTACAACTGATACCACAGAAACTGAATGGATCATAAATGCCTACTATGAGCAACTATACCCCAATAAATCAGAAATTTAGAAGAAATGAACAAATTCCTAGATACAACCTACAAAGAGTGAATCAGGAAGAAAACTAAAACCTGAACAGACCAATAACCAGTAACAAGATCAAAGCAGTAATAAAAAATCTCTCAGTAAAGTCCAGGACCTGATGGCTTCACCACTGAATTCTATGAAATATTCTTTTAAACTGCCACAAATTCCAAACTATTCCAAAACATAGTAAAGATGGGAATACCTGCAAACTCATTCTACAAGGCCAGTATGATGCTGAAACCAAAACCAGATTTAAAAAAAAAACCATAAAAAAGAAAGAAAACTATAGGCCAATATCACTGATGAATACTGATGCAAAAATCCTCAACAAAATAGTAGCAAATCGAATTCAACAATACATTAAGAAGATCATCATGCCCAAGTGAAATTTATTTCTGGGATGCAAGGATGGTTCAACATATGCAAATCAATCAATATGACACATCAAACAAACAGAAGGAAGAACAAAAAGCATATGAGGCCAGGCTTGGTGGCTCACACCTTTAATCCCAGCACTTTTGGAGGCCAAGGCAGGAGGATCACTTGAGGCCAGAAGTTCAAAAGCAGTCTGGCCAACATGGCAAAACTCTATCTCTACTAAAAAATACAAAAATTATCTAAGCATAGTGGTACACACCTGTAATCTTAGCTACTCAGGAGGCTGAGACATGAGAATTGCTTGAGTCTGGGAGACAGAGGTTTCAGTGAGCCAAGATTGTGCCATTGCACTCCAGCCTGGGCAACAGAGGGAGATCATCTTTCCCCCCACCCCCACCCACAAAAAAAGATAATTTAAATTGATGCTGAAAAAGCGTTTGATAATTTTCAACATCCATTCATGACCAAAAATCCCTCAAAAAACAGAGGATAAAAGAAACATACCTCAACATTATAAAAGCCATATATGACAGGTAGTATCATACTGAATGGGAAAAAAACTGAAAGCCTTTCTTCTAAGAACTGGAACATGACAAGAATGCCTATTTCCATGAATGTTAGTCAACATAATACTGGATGTCCTAGCTAGAGCAGTCAGACAAAAGAAAGAAATAAAGTGCATTCATATTGGAAAGGAAGAAGTCAAATTATCCTTGTTTGCACACAATATCATCCTATATTTGGAAAATCCTAAAGATTTCACATGAAAAAACTATTAGAACAAATTCAGTAAAGTTGCAAAATACAAAATCAATATACAAAAACCAGTAACATATCTATATGCAGAGAACAATTTTAAAAGAGTTTAGAAACATAATTCCATTTACAATAGCCACACATAAAATACCTAGAAATTAACCAGAGAAGTGAATGATATCTATAATAAAAATGATAAAATACTGATGGAAGAAATTGAAGAGTTCACTAAAAAGATAATATATTCCATGCTCACATATTGGAAAAAAATCAATAGTGTTAAGATATTTATACCACCCAAAGCAATCTACAGATTTCATACAATGCCTATCAAAATACCGAGGTCATTCTTCATAAAAATATTAATAGAAAAAACAATTCTAAAATTGATATGGAACCACAAAAACCCCAGAGTCACCAAAGTTATCCTAAGTGAACAGAACAAACCTGGAAAAATCACATTATCTGACTTCAAACTATACTACAAAGCTACAGTAACCAAGACAGCATGGTACTGGCATAAAAACAGACATGTAAACCAATGGAACAGAACGGAGAACCCAAAAACAAACCTACAGACCTGCAGTGAACTGATTTTGTACAAAGGTGCCAAGAACATACACTGGGGAAAAGACAGTCTTTTCAATAAGTGATGCTGAAAAAAAACTGTATATTCATATGCAGAAGAATGAAACCAGACACCTGTCTCTCACCATATATAAAAATCAAATCCAAATGGATTGATGACTGAAATATAAAATCTCAAACTGTGAAACTACTACAAGAAAGCATTGGGAAACTTCTCCAGATCATTGGTCTGGTCCAAAAATTTTTTTAGTAATCACCCACAATTTAAGTAAAAATGGACAAATGGAATCACATTGAGTTAAAAATCTTCTGTACAGCAAATAATACAATCAATGATGTGAAGAGACAACCAACAGAATGGGAGAAAATATTTGCAAACTACCTATCTGACAAGGGATTAATAACTGGAATATATCAGCAGCTCAAACAGCTGTAGAGAAAACTCTTTAATAATCCAATCAAAAAATTGGCTAAAATTTTTAATAGACAGTTTTCAAAAGAAGACATAAAATGGTAAACAGGCATATGAAAAGCTGCTCAACATCACTGATCATCAGAGAAATGCAAATCAAAACTACAATAAGATATCATGTCACCTCTGTTAAAATGGCTTATACCCAAAGATCGGCAATAACAAATGTTGGTGAGGATGTGGAGAGAAGGGATCCCTCATACACTCTTGGTGGGAATGTAATTTAGTACAACCATTATGGAAAACAGTTTGGAGATTCCTCAAAAAACTAAAAATTTGGCTGTCATATGATCCAGCAATCTCACTGCTGGATATATACTCTAAAGAAGGAAATCAGTATATTGAAGAGATATCTCCACTTCCATGTTTGTTGAAGCATTATTCTCAATAGCCATGATTTGGAAATAACCTTAGTACCCATCAACAAATTAGTGGATAAAGAAAATATGGTACACATACACAATGGGGTACTATACAGACATAAAAAAGAATGAGATCCTGTCATTTGCAACAACATGGATGCATGGATGGAATTGGAGATCATTTCGTTAAGTGAAATAAGCCAACCACCTAAAGGCAAACTTTGCATGTTCTCACTTATTTGTGGGATATAAAGTCAAAACAATTGAACTCATGGAGATAGAAAGCAGAAGGATGATTACCAGAAGCTGTGAATGATAGTGGGAGGGTACACAAGAGATGGGGATGGTTACTGGATATGAAAAATAAATAGTTGGAAAGAATAAAAAAGACCTGTTTGATAGCACAACTGGGTGACTATAGTCAATAATAATTTAATTGTACATTTTAAAATAACAAAAATTACAAGTGTAATTGAATTGTTTGTAACCCAAAGGATAAATGCTTGAGGGGATGAACACGCCATCTTTATGTTGCCATTATTACCCATTTCATGCCTGTATTAAAACATCTCATGAATCCCATAAATATATACATCTATTATGTATAAAGAAATTAAAAATAAAATTTTCAAAACAAGCTTAGAAATTGAACTATCAAAAAAGAAGATATTAAAATGATAAATATTTATACACCAAACACTACAGCACATAAATATATAGAGCAAAAACCAACCTAATTAAAGGAGAAATAAACAGAAATATAATAATAGTAGGAGATTTTAATACCCCGTTCTCAACAATTGACAGGTTAACTATGAAGAAAATTAATAAAGAAACAGCAGATTAGACAACACTATGGATCAAATAGACTGAAAAGGCATATATATAACACTCTATGCAATATCAATGAAACATACATTCTTCTCGTGCACACACAGAACATTCATCTGTATACAACATATGTAAGGCCACAAAGCAAGTCTTAACAAATTCAAGAAGACTGAAATCATATCAAGTATCTTTTCCAACTACTAGGCTATGACGCTACAAATCAGTAACAAAAAGAAAACTGAAAATTTCACTAATATATGGAAATTAAACAACAAACTACTGAACAACCAAAGGGTCAAAGAAGAAATCAAAATGGAAATACAAAATATCTTGATACAAATAAACAATGGAAACACAACACGCCAAACCTTATAGGATACAGCAAAAACAGTTCTAGGAGGAAAATGTGAATGAAAAACATCTACATTATGAAACTAAAAGGTCTCAAAAAAAACTAAACTTACACCTCAAAAAACTAGAAAAGCATAGCAAACTAAGCTAAAAGATTGCAGAATAATGGAAATAATAAAGATTAGATCAGAAATAAATGAAATAGGGAATAAAATAATAAAGAGCAATAAAACTAAGAGTTGGGTTTTTGAAAAGATAAGCAAAATTGGCAAATCTTCTAGACTAAGAAACAAAGAGGAAATAAATACATAAAACCATAAACGAAAGAGAAACAAGAGGAGATATTACAACTAATACCACAGAAATACAAAGGATCACAAGAGACTATTACAAATAATTATACACCAACAAATCACATAACTTAAAAGATATGAATAAATTGCTAGAAACATATAATCTACCAAGACAGAATGATGAACAAAGAAAAATGAAACAGACCAATACTAAGTACAGAAATTGAATCAATAATCAAAAATCTTCCAACGAAGAAAAGCCAAGGACTTGATGACTATGTGGCTGAGTTCTACCAACATTTAAAGGACTAATACAAATCCATCTCAAACTCTTTCAGAAAAATGATGATGAGGAAACACTTCTAAATCATTTGATAAAGCCAGCATTACCCTAATACCAAAGACAGATAAGGACACTACAAGAAAACAAAACAACAGGCCAATATCTTTCATGAACATACATGCAATACTCCTCAATAAAACACTAGTAAACCAAATTTTACAGTACATTAAAAGAATCATACACCATGATAGTGTGGAATTTATCCCTGGGGTGCAAGATTTTCTTCTAAGGTCAGGAGGGAGACAAGTATGCCCACTCTTGCCACTTCTATTCAACGTAGTACCCGTAGTCTTAGCTAGAGCAATTGGGTAAGAAAAAGTAATAACAGGCATTTAAATAGGAAAGGAATAAGTAACATTATCTCGGTTTGCAGATGAGATGCTCTTATATTTAGAAAAACATAAAGACTCCATAAAAAGGCTATTAAATCTTATCAACAAATTCATTACAATTGTAATAGATGAAGTCAACAAATATCAGTTACATTTCTACACACTAACAGTTAACTATGTGAAAAAGAAATAAAAAATTCTGAAGAAACTGTTCCTGGGGGAGGAGCCAAGATGGCCGAATGGGAAGAGCTCCAGTCTACAGCTCCCAGCATCAGTGACACAGAAGACGGGTGATTTCTGCATTTCCATCTGAGGTACCAGGTTCATCTCACTAGGGAGTGCCAGACAGTGGGCACAGGTCAGTGGGTGCACGCACCGTGTGTGAGCTGAAGCAGGGTGAGGCATTGCCTCACTCGGGAAGCACAAAGGGTCAGGGAGTTCCCTTTCCTCGTCAAAGAAAGGGGTGACAGAAAGCACCTGGAAAATCGGGTCACTCCCACCCGAATACTGCACTTTTCCAACAGGCTTAAAAAATGGCGCACCAGGAGATTATATCCCGCACCTGGCTCGCAGGGTCCTATGCCCATGGAGTCTCACTGACTGCTAGCACAGCAGTCTGAGATCAAACTGCAAGGTGGCAGTGAGGCTGGGGGAGGGGCGCCCACCATTGCCCAGGCTTGCTTAAGTAAACAAAGCAGCCGGAAAGCTCCAACTGGGTGGATCCCACCACAGCTCAAGGAGGCCTGCCTGCCTCTGTAGGCTCCACCTCTGGGGGCAGGACACAGACAAACAAAAAGACAACAGTAACTTCTGCAGACTTAAATGTCCCTGTCTGATAGCTTTGAAGAGAGCAGTGGTTCTCCCAGCACACAGCTGGAGATCTAAGAACAGGAAGACTGCCTCCTCAAGTGGGTCCCTGACACCTGACCCACAAGCAGCCTAACTGGGAGGCACCCCGCAGCAGGGGCAGACTGACACCTCACACGGCCGGGTACTCCAACAGACCTGCAGCTGAGGGTCCTGTCTGTTAAGAGGAAAACTAAAAAACAGAAAGGACATCCACACCAAAAACCCATCTGTACATCACCAACATCAAAGACCAAAAGTAGATAAAACCACAAAGATGGGGAAAAAACAGAGCAGAAAAACTGGAAACTCTAAAAAGCAGAGCGACTCTCCTCCTCCAAAGGAACACAGCTCCTCACCAGCAACAGAAAAAAGCTGGATGGATAATGACTTTGACAAGCTGAGAGAAGAAGGCTTCAGATGATCAAATTATTCTGAGCTAGGGGAGGACATTCAAACCAAAGGTAAAGAAGTTTAAAATTTTGAAAAAAATTTAGATGAATGGATAACTAGAATAACCAATACAGAGAAGTGCTTAAAGGAGCTGATGGAGCTGAAAACTAAGGCTCGAGAACTACCTGAAGAATGCAGAAGCCTCAAGAGCCGATGCGATCAACTGGAAGAAAGGGTATCAGCGATGGAAGATGAAATGAATGAAATGAAGTGAGAAGGGAAGTTTAGAGAAAAAAGAATAAAAAGAAATGAGCAAAGACTCCAAGAAATATGGGACTATGTGAAAAGACCAAACCTACGTCTGACTGGTGTACCTGAAAGTGACGGGGAGAATGGAACCAAGCTGGAAAACATTCTGCAGGATATTATCCAGGAGAACTTCCCCAGTCTAACAAGGCAGGGCAACATTCAAATTCAGGAAATACAGAGAATACCACAAAGATACTCCTCGAGAAGAACAACTCCAAGACACATAATTGTCAGATTCACCAAAGTTGAAATGACGGAAAAAATGTTAAGGGCAGCCAGAGAGAAAGGTCGGGTTACCCTCAAAGGGAAGCCCATAAGACTAACAGCGGATCTCTCAGCAGAAACCCTACAAACCAGAAGAGAGTGGGGGCCAATATTCAACATTCTTAAAGAAAAGAATTTTCAACCAGAATTTCATATCCAGCCAAACTAAGCTTCATAAGTGAAGGAGAAATAAAATACTTTACTGAAAAGCAAATGCTGAGAGATTTTGTCACCACCAGGCCTGCCCTAAAAGAGCTCCTGAAGGAAGCACTAAACATGGAAAGGAACAACCGGTACCAGCTGCTGCAAAATCATGCCAAAATGTAAAGACCATTGAGACTAGGAAGAAACTGCATCAACTAACGAGCAAAATAACCAGCTAACATCATAATGACAGGATCAAATTCACACATAACAATATTAACTTTAAATGTAAATGGACTAAATTCTCCAATTAAAAGACACAGACTGGCAAATTGGATAAAGAGTCAAGACCCATCAGTGTGCTGTATTCAGGAAACCCATCTCACGTGCAGAGACACACATAGGCTCAAAATAAAAGGATGGAGGAAGATCTACCAAGCAAATGGAAAACAAAAAAAGGCAGGGGTTGCAATCCTAGTCTCTGATAAAACAGACTTTAAACCAACAAAGATCAAAAGAGACAAAGAAGGCCATTATATAATGGTAAAGGGATCAATTCAACAAGAAGAGCTAACTATCCTAAATATATATGCACCCAATGCAGGAGCACCCAGATTCATAAAGCAAGTCCTGAGTGACCTACAAAGAGACTTAGACTCCCACACATTAATAATGGGAGACTTTAACACCCCACTGTCAACATTAGACAGATCAACGAGACAGAAAGTCAACAAGGATACCCAGGAATTGAACTCAGCTCTGCACCAAGCAGACCTAATACACATCTACAGAACTCTCCACCCCAAATCAACAGAATATACATTTTTTTCAGCACTACACCACACCTAATCTAAAATTGACCACATAATTGGAAGTAAAGCTCTCCTCAGCAAATGTAAAAGAACATAGATTATAACAAACTATCTTTCAGACCACAGTGGAATCAAACTAGAACTCAGGATTAAGAATCTCACTCAAAACCGCTCAACTACATGGAAACTGAACAACCTGCTCCTGAATGACTACTGTATACATAACGAAATGAAGGCAGAAGTAAAGATGTTCTTTGAAACCAACGAGAACAAAGACACAACATACCAGAATCTCTGGGACGCATTCAAAGCAGTGTGTAGAAGGAAATTTATAGCACTAAATGCCCACAGGAGAAAGCAAGAAAGATCCAAAATTGACACCCTAACATCACAATTAAAAGAACTAGAAAAGCAAGAGCAAACACATTCAAAAGCTAGCAGAAGGCAAGAAATAACTAAAATCAGAGCAGAACTGAAGGAAATACAGACACAAAAAACCCTTCAAAAAATTAATGAATCCAAGAGCTGGATTTTTGAAAGGATCAACAAAATTGATAGATTGCTACCAAGACTAATAAAGAAAAAAGAGAGAAGAATCAAATAGATGCAATAAAAAATGGTAAAGGGGATATCAACACCAATCCCACAGAAATACAAACTACCATCAGAGAATACTACAAACACCTCTATGCAAATAAACTAGAAAATCTAGAAGAAATGGATAAATTCCTCGACACATACACCCTCCCAAGACTAAACCAGGAAGAAGTTGAATCTCTGAATAGAACATTAACAGGAGCTGAAATTGTGGCAATAATCAATAGTTTACCAACCAAAAAGAGTCCAGGAACAGATGGATTCACAGCCGAATTCTATCAGAGGTACAAGGAGGAACTGGTACCATTCCTTCTGAAATTATTCCAATCAATAGAAAAAGAGGGAATCCTCCCTACCTCATTTTATGAGGCCAACATCATTCTGATACCAAAGCCGGGCAGAGACACAACCAAAAAAGAGAATTTTAGACCAATATCCTTGATGAACATTGATGCAAAAATCCTCAATAAAATACTGGCAAACCGAATCCAGCAGCACATCAAAAAGCTTATCCACCATGATCAAGTGGGCTTCATCCCTGGGATGAAAGGCTGGTTCAATATACGCAAATCAATAAATGTAATCCAGCATATAAACAGAGCCAAAGACAAAAACCACATGATTATCTCAATAGATGCAGAAAAAGCCTTTGACAAAATTCAACAACCCTTCATGCTAAAAACTCTCAATAAATTAGGTATTGATGGGACATATTTCAAAATAATAAGAGCTATCTATGACAAACCCACAGCCAATATCATACTGAATTGGCAAAAACTGGAAGCATTCCCTTTGAAAACTGGCACAAGACAGGGATGCCCTCTCTCACCACTCCTATTCAACATAGTGTTGGAAGTTCTGGCCAGGGCAATTAGGCAGGAGAAGGAAATAAAGGGTATTCAATTAGGAAAAGAGGAAGTCAAATTGTCCCTGTTTGCAGATGACATGATTGTATATCTAGAAAATCCCATTGTCTCAGCACAAAATCTCCTTAAGCTGATAAGCAACTTCAGCAAAGTCTCAGGATACAAAATCAATGTACAAAAATCACAAGCATTCTTATACACCAATAACAGACAAACAGAGAGCCAAATCAGGAGTGAACTCCCATTCACAATTGCTTCAAAGAGAATAAAATACCTAGGAATCCAACTTACAAGGGATGTGGAGGACCTCTTCAAGGAGAACTAGAAACCACTGCTCAAGGAAATAAAAGAGGATACAAACAAATGGAAGAACATTCCATGCTCATGGGTAGGAAGAATCAATATCGTGAAAATGGCCATACTGCCCAAGGTAATTTACAGATTCAATGCCATTCCCATCAAGCTACCAATGACTTTCTTCACAGAATTGGAAAAAACTACTCTAAAGTTCATATGGAACCAAAAAAGAGCCCGCATCGCCAAGGCAATCCTAAGCCAAAAGAACAAAGCTGGAGGCATCACACTACCTGACTTCAAACTATACTGCAAGGCTACAGTAACCAAAACAGCATGGCACTGGTACCAAAACAGAGACATAGATCAATGGAACAGAACAGAGCCCTCAGAAGTAATGCCACATATCTACAACTATCTGATCTTTGACAAACCTGACAAAAACAAGCAATGGGGAAAGGATTCCCTATTTAATAAATGGTGCTGGGAAAACTGGCTAGCCATAGGTACAAAGCTGAAACTGGATCCCTTTCTTACACCTTATACAAAAATCAATTCAAGATGGATTAAAGACTTAAACGTTAGACCTAAAACCATAAAATCCCTAGAAGAAAACCTAGGCATTACCATTCAGGACATAGGCATGGGCAAGGACTTCATGTCTAAATCACCAAAAGCAATGGCAACAAAAGCCAAAATTGACAAATGGGATCTAATTCAACTAAAGAGCTTCTGCACAGCAAAAGAAACTACCATCAGAGTGAACAGGCAACCTACAGAATGGGAGAAAATTTTCACAACCTACTCATCTGACAAAGGGCTAATATCCAGAATCTACAATAAACTCAAACAAATTTACAAGAAAAAAACAAACAACCCCATCAAAAAGTGGGCAAAGGACATGAACAGACACTTCTCAAAAGAAGACATTTATGCAGCCAAAAAACACATGAAAAAATGCTCACCATCTCTGGCCATCAGAGAAATACAAATCAAAACCACAATGAGATACCATCTCACACCAGTTAGAATGGCAATCATTAAAAAGTCAGGAAACAACAGGTGCTGGAGAGGATGTGGAGAAATAGGAACACTTTTACACTGTTGGTGGGACTGTAAACTAGTTCAACCATTGTGGAAGTCAGTGTGGCGATTCCTCAGGGATCTAGAACTAGAAATACCATTTGACCCAGCCATCCCATTACTGTGTATATACACAAAGGACTATAAATCATGCTGCTATAAAGACACATGCACACGTATGTTTATTGTGGCATTATTCACAATAGCAAAGACTTGGAACCAACCCAAATGTCCAACAATGATCGACTGGATTAAGAAAATGTGGCACATATACACCATGGAATACTATGCAGACATAAAAAATGATGAGTTCATGTCCTTTGTAGAGACATGGATGAAATTGGAAATCATCATTCTCAGTAAACTATTGCATGAACAAAAACCAAACACCACATATTCTCACTCACAGGTGGGAATTGAACAATGAGAACACATGGACTCAGGAAGGGGAACATCACACTCTGGGGACTGCTGTGGGGTGGGGGGAGGGGGGAGGGATAGCATTGGGAGATATACCTAATGCTAGATGACGAGTTAGTGGGTGCAGCGCACCAGCATGGCACATGTATACATATGTAACTAACCTGCACAATGTGCACATGTACCCTAAAACTTAAAGTATAATAATAATAATAATAAAGACCTACAATTTGGTATTACATCAGGGTGACTATAGTCAATAATAACTTAATTGTACATTTTAAGATAACTTGAAGAGTTTAATTGGATTATTTGTAACTCAAAGGATAAATGTTTGAGGGGATGGATACCCCATTCTCTATGATGTGTTTATTTCACATTGCATGCCTGTATCAAAACGTCTCATATACCCCAAAAATATATACACCTACTATGTGCCCACAAATATTAAATTTTTTAAAATTAAAGTATTTCAAAAACTAAATAAACTAGGAACTGGAGGGAACTTCCTCAACATGGTAAAAAGTATTTATTTAAAAAAAATCCCTCCACTAACACTGTACTCAGTGGTATAAAACTGAATGCTGTCCAGGCACGGTGTCTCATGCCTGTAATCCCAGCACTTTGGGAGGCCGAGGCAGGCAGATCACAAGGTCAGGAGATGAAACCGTCCTGGCTAACATGGTGAATCCCTGTCTCTACTAAAAAATAGAAAATAATTAGCCAGGCACGGTGGCAGGCCACTGTAGTCCCAACTACTCGGGAGGCTGAGGGAGGAGAATGGTATGAACCTGGGAGGTGGAGCTTGCAGTGAGCCGAGATCGCGCCACTGCACTCCAGCCTGGGCGACAAAGCAAGACTCCGTCTCAAAAAAAAAAAAAATATCTAAATGCTTACTCCAAGATCAGAAAAATATAAGAATGCTTAATTTTTCCACTGCTACCAAACATTGTGCTGGGAGTCATAGTCTGAGCAATTAGACAAGAAAAAGAGATAAAAGCATCCAAATTGGGAAGAAAGAAAGAAAATTATCTTTATTTATGGATGACATGGTCCTATATAATCCAAATAATTCACAAGAAATCTACTACAGCTAATTAACAATTCAGCAAAGATGCGAGGTACATGATCCAGGCCAAGAAAAAAAAAAGTTGTGCTTCTATTCACATGTAATAAAAATTATGAAAAGAAAATAAAGAAAGCAATTCCATTTACAACAGCATCAAAAAGAATAAAAGATCTAGGAATAAATTTAAGGATGACTTGTACACTGAAGATTAGAAAATATTGTTGACAGTAATTAAAGAAGACCTAAATAAATAGAAATACATTCCATGTTTATGAGTCATTAGCCTTAATATTGTTAAAATATCAACACCACCCAAAGTCATCTACAGTTTCTACACAATCTCAGTCAACATTCCAACATCCTCTTTTACAGAAATGGAAAAGCCAATCCTCAAATTCATATGAAAGTAGAAGCCCCAAATGCCAAAACAATCTTGAAAAAGAAGAACACAGTTGGAAGACTCACACTTCCCAATTTAAAACTTACTGCAAAAATTAGCAAATATAAAACCCAAAACTATAAAAATCCTAGAAGAGAATCTAGACAATACCATGCAGGACATAGGCACAGGCAAAGATTTTATGATGAAAGCACCAAAAGCAATTGCAACAAGTGCAAAAATTGACAAATGAAATATAATTAAACTAAAGAGCATCAGGAAAAATAGCTAATGCATGCTGGGCTTAGTACCTAGGTGATGGGTTGATAGGTGCAGCAAACTACCATGACACATGTTTATCTATGTAACAAACCTGTACACACTGCACATGTACCCTGGAACTTAAAATTTTTTAAAAAAAATTACTGCAAAGTACAATAATAAAAACAGTAATACATGTATGGCCAATTAATTAGTAACAATGGTACCTAGTCAATTCAATAGGGAAATAAATGATACCAGAAAAATTGAATTTCCACATGCAAAAGAATAAAGTTGAACTCTACATCACACCAGATATAACAGTTGACTCAAATGAATCAACAACCCAGATATATAAGATCTGAAATCATAAAGCTTTTTGAAAAAAAAATGTAGAGGTAAATCATCACGACCTTGGATTTTTTACTGGATTCTTAGATATGACACTAAAAACACAAGCAAGAAAATAAATAAATTAGACTTCTTCAAAATTAGAAACCTTTTTTAAAAAATTGAAGACTTTTTGTCTTTTCACTTTAATTAATTTCCCTTCATTAAAGATTTTAAGGGCATTATCAAGAAAGTGAAAAGACAAAAAAGAATGAAATGTCTTTTGCAACAACTTGGATGGAGGTGGAGGCCACTATTCTAAGTGAAGTAACTCATGAGTGGAAAACCAAATACCATATGTTCTCACTTATAAGTGGGAACTAAGCGATAAGTATGCAAAGGCATATAGAATGGTAAAATGGACACTGGAAACTCAGAAGTGAAGAGGATGGAAGGGGTGGTGAGAGATAAAAACTACCTATCGGGTACAATGTACATTACTTGAGTGATGGGTACACTAAAATCTCAAGCTTCACCACTATACAGCTCATCCATGTAACCAAAAACCACTTTTACCCCTAAAAGCTATTGAAATATATATCTGAAGCATCAGGTAGAACACAAGGTCATTCTGGTAATAGAACAAAAGGGGATCCGTCCTTAGGAAATGGAGATGGTGGAGTATAGTACAAATCCACTCCTGCCAGTGGATTTCGGTTCAAGATTTTGGTACCCTAGAAACAGGGAAGTTCCAGCCCTTTAGAGACCGCATGCAGAATGCATAGCACTCCAAAATACACAGAGCTACAAGGTAGCTATTTTGGAGATCTGGCCTTCTCGCCTAAGGATGATATTATGATGAAGGAATCCAACCCATAAACAAACAGCAGCAAAAGCTATGTTCAGGCCCCAATGGGTCCTGGATCCAGGGCCAATGATGAATAATATCTAGTAGGTTCTAGGAGAAATATGAAGTATCTACTAAAGGCTTTAGGTTGAGGAGGATGACATGTTCATTGAACAACTACCTTCCAAGGGACTACTCTGGCCCTATGTTAGGTGCTGTGAGAATAGAGATAACAAGACACCTTCCATATTATGACAAAGCTCATTTCACATTCATCATCCAATTTTATTTGATGTACATGTACACAATTGTTTTGTACTCTTATTGGTTCATAAATATAAATATTGCCTTCATGAGATGGTTTAATCCTTTAGAGAATGCACTGGGCCTTAAATTTTACCTTTGTGATGTCTAACACAATGACGGTCACATTAGGCCCGTCATCTAATAATTATTTGTTGATTGGTGGACTTTTGAAACTTCTAAATAATCCGGATCTGTTGCACTTACTCACTTTTGAGAAACTCTAAACAAAACAAATGTTTATTGAGCATCTGTTATGTATAAACCATTATGCAAGGTGCTAGAGAAGCTACAAAGATGCAAAAGACAAGGAAGTGCCTGCCCTTGGGGAGTTCACAATCTAGTTGGGAATACAGGCTTGAAAAGTAAGTGACATAGAGGGTCCTGAATTCTGAGAGCTTAAGTTTTATCCCACAACAAAGGCAACCCAAAGAGATTTTAAGTAGACAAACAGCCTATTCAAATCTATGAATTAAGAAGATCACACTAGAAAGGAAGGGCCAAGATGGCCCAACAGGAACAGCTTCTGTCTGCACCTACCAGCAAGACCAACGCAGAAGGTGGGTGATTTCTGCATTCCCAACTGTGGTACCCAGTTCATCTCACTGGACTGGTTAGGCAGTGGGTCCAACCAATGGAGGGCAAGCAGAAGCAGAGTGGGGCATCGCTTCACCCTGGAAGTGCAAGGGGCCAGGGGCCTCCCTCCCATAAGCCAAAGGAAGCCCTGAAGAACTGTGCTACATGGCCAAGTTACTACACTTTTCCCACTGTTTTTGCAATATGCAGATCAGGAGATTCCCTCGTGTGCCTAAACCACCAGGGCCTTGGGTTTCAAGCACAAAACTGAGTGGCTGTTTGGGCAGACACTAAGCTAGCTGCAGGAGCTTTTTTTGTACCACAGTGGCACCTGGTACCCCAGCGAGACAGAACCGTTCACTCCCCTGGAAAAGGGGCTGAAGCCAGAGAGCCAAGTGGTCTTGCTCAGTGGGTCCCACACCCATAAAGCTTAGAAACTAAGAACTAGTGGCTTCAAATTATCACTACTGGGCAGGCACAGAGGCTCAGGCTGGTAATCCCAGCACTTTGGGAGGCTGAGGTTGGTGGATTACCTGAGGTCAGGAGTTCAAGACCAGCCTGGCCAACATGGTGAAACCCTGTCTCTACTAAAAATACAAAAATTATTCACGTGTGGTGGCATGTGCCTGTAATCCCAGCTACTCGGGAAGCTGAGGCAGAAAAATTGCTCAAAGCTGGGAAACAGAGGTTGCAGTGAGCCGAGACTGTGCCACAGTACTCCAGCCTGGGTGAAAGATTGAGACTAAGTCATAAAGGGAGGAAGGAAGGAAGGAAGGAAGGAAGGAAGGAAGGAAGGAAGGAAGGAAGGAGAGAGACAGAGAGAGAAACAAAGAAAGAAAGAAAGAGAGAAAGAAAGAAAGAAATTCTAAAAGAAAGAGAGAAAGAAAAGAAAGAAAGAGAGAGAGAAAGAAATTCTAAAAGAAAGAGAGAGAGAAAAAGAAAGAAAGAAAGAGAGAGAAAAAGAAAGAAAGAAAGAAGGAAAGAAAGAAAGAAACAAACAAACAAACAAAGAAACAAAGAAACAAAGAAAGAAAGGAGAAAAATTCTCACCGCCCGCACAGTAGTCTGAAGTCGACCTGGGATGATCCAGCTTGGTCGGGGGAGTGGCGTCTGCCATTACTGAGGCTTTAGGAGGCAATTTTTCCCTGACAGTGCTAAGGAGGCTGGGAGGTCTGAACTGGGGTCATCAACATAAAAGATCAAAGGTAGATAAATCTATGAAGATGAGGAAAAACCAGTGCAAAACTGTGGAAAATTTCAAAAACCAGAATGTCTCTTCTTCAAATGATCACAACTCCTCTCCAGCAAGGGCACAAAACTGGATGAAGAATGAGATTGACGAATTGACAGAAGTAGGTTTCAGATGGTGGTGAATAACAAAGTCCTCTGAGCTACGAAAGCATGTTGTAACCCAATGCAAGGAAGCTAAGGACCCTGAAAAAGGTTACAGGAACTGCTAACTAGAATAACCAGTTTAGAGAAGAACATAAATGACTTGATGGAGCTGAAAAAGATTGCACGAAAACTTCATAAAACATACACCATACCAATAGCCGAATCAATCAAGCAGAAGAAAGGATATCAGAGATTGAATATCAACTTAATGAAATAAGGCGTGAAGACAAGATTAGAGAAAAAATAATAGAAAGGAACAAACAAAGCCTCAGGAAATATGGTACTATGTGAAAAGACCAAACCTAAGATTGATTGGTGAACCTGAAACTTATGGGGAGAATAAAACCAAGCTGGAAACCACGCTTCAGGATATTATCCAAGAGAACTACCCCAACCTAGCAAGACAGGCCAGCATTCAAATTCAGAAAATACAGAGAACACCACTAAGATACTCCTAAAGAAGAGCAACCCCAAGACACATAATCATCAGATTCCCCAAGGTTCAAATAAAGAAAAAAATGTTAAGGGCAGCCAGAGAAAAAGACCACATGTCACAAAAAAAGAAGCCCATCAAACTAACAGCAGATCTCTCTGCAGGAAAACTTGAAGCCAAAATAGAGTGGGGGCCATTATTCAACATTCTTAAAGAAAAGAATTTTCAACCCAGAATTTTATATCCAGTCAAACTAAGCATCATCAGCAAAGGATAAATAAAATTCTTTCCAGACAAGCAAATGCTGAGAGATTTTGCCACCACAAGGACTATCTTACAAGAGCTCCTAAAGAAAGCATGAATATAAGAAGGAAAAACTGGTCCCAACCACTGCAAAAACACACCAAAATACAAAGACCACTGACACTCTGAAGAAATTGCATCAACCATTGTGCAAAATAACCAGCTAGCATCATGATAACAGGATCAAATTCACACACAAATATATTACCCTTAAATGTAAATGGACTACATGCCTCAATTAAAAGACACATACTGGCAAATTGGATAGAGTCAAGACCCATTGGTGTGCTGTATTGAGGAGACCCAGCTCACATGCAAAGACACACATAGGGTCAAAATAAAGGGATGGATGAATATTTATAAAGAAAATGAAAGCAAGAAAAAGCAGGGGTTACAATCCTAGTCTCTGATAAAACAGACTTTTTTTTCTTTTTCTTTTTTTTAATTATACTTTAAGTTATAGGGTGCATGTGCACAACATGCAGGTTTGTTACATATGTATACATGTGCCATGTTGGTGTGCTGCACCCATTAACTCATCATTTCCATTAGTATATCTCCTAATGCTTTCCCTCCCCCCTCCCCCCACCCCACAACAGGCCCCAGTGTGTGATGTTCCCCTTCCTGTGTTCAAGTGTTCCCATTGTTCAATTCCCACCTATGAGTGAGAACATGTGGTGTTTGGTTTCTTGTCCTCGCAATAATTTGCTGAGAATGATGGTTTCCAGCTTCATCCATGTCCCTACAAAGGACATGAATTCATTCTTTTTTATGGCTGCATGGTATTCCAAGGTGTATATGTGCCACATTTTCTTAATCCAGTCTATCATTGTTGGACATTTGGCTTGGTTCCAAGTCTTTGCTATTGTGAATAGTACTGCAATAAACATAAGTGTGTATGTGTCTTTATAGCAGCATGATTTATAATCCTTTGGGTATATACCCAGTAATGGGATGGCTGGGTCAAATGGTAGTTCTAGTTCTAGATCCTTGAGGAATCACCACACTGTCTTCCACAATGGTTGAACTAGTTTACAGTCCCACCAACAGTGTAAAAGTGTTCCTATTTCTCCACAACGTCTCCAGCACCTGTGGTTTCCTGACTTTTTAATGATCGCCATTCTAACTGGTGTGAGATGGTATCTCATTGTGGTTTTGATTTGCATTTCTCTGATGGCCAGTGATGATGAGCATTTTTTCATGTGTCTGTTGGCTGCATAAATGTCTTCTTTTGAGAACTGTCTGTTCATATCTTTTGCCCACTTTTTGATGGGATTGTTTGTTTTTTCTTGTAAATTTGTTTGAGTTTATTGTAGATTCTGAATATTAGCCCTTTGTCAGATGAGTAGATTGCGAAATTTTTCTCTCATTCTGTAGGTTGCCTGTTCACTCTGATGGTAGTTTCTTTTGCTGTGCAGAAGCTCTTGAGTTGAATTAGATCCCATTTGTCAATTTTGGCTTTTGTTGCCATTGCTTTTGGTGTTTTAGACATGAAGTCCTTGCCCATGCCTATGTCCTGAATGGTATTGCCTAGTTTTCTTTTAGGGTTTTTATAGTTTTAGGTCTACCATTTAAGTCTTTAATCCATCTTGAATTAACTTTTGTATAAAGTGTAAGGAAGGGATCCAGTTTCAGCTTTCTCCATATGGCTAGCCAGTTTTCCCAGCACCATTTATTGAACAGGGAATCCTTTTCCCATTGTTTGTTTTTCTCAGGTTTGTCAAAGATCAGATGGTTGTAGATGTGCCCTCTTTCACCAATCCTATTCAACATAGTGTTGGAAGTTCAGGCCAGGGCCATCAGGCAGGAGAAAGAAATAAAGGCTATTCAATTAGAAAAAGAGGAAGTCAAATTGTCCTTGTTTTCAGATGACATAATTGTATATTTAGAAAACCCCATCATCTCAGCCCAACATCTCCTTAAGCTGATAAGCAACTTCAGCAAAGTCTCAGGATACAAAATCAATGTGCAAGAATCACAAGCATTCTTATTCACCAATAACACACAAATAGAGAGCCAAATCATAAGTGAACTCCCTTTCACAATTGCTTCAAAGAGAATAAAATACCTAGAAATCCAACTTACAAGGGATTTGAAGGACCTCTTCAAGGAGAATTACAAACCACTGCTCCATGAAATAAAAGAGGATACTAACAAATGGAAGAACATTCCATGCTCATGGATAGGAAGAATCAATACCGTGAAAATGGCCATACTGCCCATGGTAATTTATAGATTCAATGCCATCCCCATCAAGCTATCAATGACTTTCTTCATAGAACTGGAAAAAACTACTTTAAAGTTCATATGGAACCAAAAAATGGCCCGCACTGCCAAGACAATCCTAAGCCAAAAGAACAAAGCTGGAGGCATCACGCTACCTGACTTCAAACTATACTACAATGCCACAGTAACCAAAACAGCATGGTACTGTTACCAAAACAGAGATATAGACCAATGGAACAGAACAGAGCCCTCAGAGATAAAACAGACTTTAAACCAACAAAGATCAAAAGAGACAAAGCAGGGCATTACATAATGGTAAAGGGATCAATGCAACAAGAGAAACTAACTATCCTAAATTTATATGCACTCAATACAGGAGCACTCAGATTCATAAAGCAAGTTCTCAAATACCTACAAAGAGAATTAGACTCCCATACAATAATAGTGGGAGACTATAACACCCCATAGTCAATATTAGACAGATCAACAAAACAGTAAATTAACAAAGATATTCAGGACTTGAACTCAGCTCTGGACCAAGTGAACCTAATTGACATCTACAGAATTCTCCACTCCAAATCAACAGAATATACATTTTTCTCAGCACCACATAGCATGCATTCTAAAATTGATGACATAATTGGAAGTAAAACACTCCTCAGCAAATGCAAAAGAACAGAAATTATTACAAACAGTCTCTCAGACCACATTACAATCAAATTAGAACTCAGGGTTAAGAAATTCACTCAAAACTACACAACTACATGGAAATTAAACAACCTCCTCCTGAATGACTACTGGGTAAATAACGAAATTAAGGCAGAAATAAATAAGTTCTTTAAAATCAATGAGAACAAAGAGACAACATACCAGAATCTCTGGGACACAGCAAAAGCAGTGTTAAGAGGGAAACTTATAGCACTAAATGCCCACAACAGAAAGCTAGAAAGATCTAAAATCAACACCCTAACAACACAATTAAAAGAACCAGAGAAGCAAGAGAAAACAAACTCAAAAGATAGCAAAAGACAAGAAATTACTAAGATCAGAGCAGAACTGAAGGAGATAGAGACATGAAAAACACTTCAAAAAATTAAGGAATCCAGGAGCTGATTTTTTGAAAATATTAACAAAATAAATGGACCACTAGCTAAACTAATAAAGAAGAAAACAGAGAAGAATTCAACAGACACAATTAAAATGATATAGGGGATATATCCACTGATCCCACAGAAATACAATCTATTATCAGAGAATACTACAAACACCTCTCACAAGTAAACTAGAATATCTAGAAGAAATGGATAAACTCCAGGACACATACACCCTCCCAAGACTAAACCAGGAAGAAGTCAAATCCCTGAATAGGCCAACAAGTTCTGAAATTGAGGCAGTAACTAATAGCTTACCAACCAAACAAAAGCTTAGTACAAGATGGATTCACAGCCGAATTCTACTAGACGCACAAACAGGAGCTAGCACCAATTCCTTCTGAAACTATTACAAATAACGGAAAAAGAGGGACTACTCCTGAACTAATTCTATGAGGACAGCATCATTTTGGTACCAAAACCTGACAGAGACACAACACGAAAAGAAAATTTCAGGCCAATATCCCTGATGAACATCAATGTGAAAATCCTTAATAAAATACTGGCAGACTGAATCCAGCAGCACATCAAAAGGCTTATCCACCAGGATGAAGTCAGCTTCATCCCTGGGATGCAAGGCTGTTTCAACATATGCAAATCAATAAACGTAATCCACCACATAAACAGAACCAATAACAAAAACCACATGATTATCTTGATAGATGTAGAAAAGGCCTTCAATGAAATTCAACACCCCTTCATCCTAGAAACTCTCAATAAACTAGGTATTGATGGATCATATCTCAAAAAAGTAAGAGCTATTGATGACAAACCCATAGCCAATATCATACTGAATGGGCAAAAGCTGGAAGGATTCCCTTTGAAAACTGGCACAAGACAAGGATGCCCTCTCTCAACACTCATATTGAACATAGCATTGGAAGTTCTAGCCAGGGCAATCAGGAAAGAGAAAGAAATAAAGGGTATTATAATAGGAAGAGAGGAAGTCAAATTGTCTTTGTTCGCAGATGACCTGATTGTATATTTAGAAAACCCCTTCAACTCTGCCTAAAAATTCCTTAAGCTGATAAGCAACTTCAGCAAAGTCTCAGGATACAAAATCAATGTTCAAAAATCACAAGCATTTCTATACACCAACAATAGACAAGCTCACAGCCAAATCATGAATAAACTCCCATTCACAATCACTACAAAGAGAATAAAATACCTAGGAATACAAGTTACAAGGCATGTGAAGAACCTTTTCAAGGAGAACTACAAACCACTGCTCAAGGAAATAAGAGAAGAAACAAACAAACGGGAAAAAATCCATGCTCATGGAGAGGGAGAATCAATATTGTGAAAATGGCCATACTGCCCAAAGTAATTTATAAATTCAATGCTATTCCCATCAAGTTACCAGTAACTTTTATGGCAGAATTTTAAAAAACTATTTTATATTTCATATGAAACCAAAAAAGAGCCCATATAGCCAAGACAATCCTAAGCAAAAAGAACAAAGCTGGAGGCATCACGCTACCTGACTTCAAACTATACTACAAGACTACAGTAACCAAAACTGCATGGTACTGGTACCAAAACAGATATATAGACCAATGGAATGAAGCAGAGACCTCAGAAATAACATCACATGTCTACAACCGTCTGATCTTCCACAATCCTGACAAAAACAAGCAATGGGGAAAGGATTCTATATTTAATAAATTATGCTGGGAAAACTGGCTAGTCATATGCAGAAAACAGAAACTGGACCCCTTCCTTAAACCTTATACAAAAATTAACTCAAGATGGATTAAATACTTAAATGTAAAACCCAAAACCATAAAAACCATATAAGAAAACCTAGGCAATACCACTCAGGATATAGACATGAGCAAAGACTTTATGACCAAAACACACAAAAAAAAGCAACAAATGCCAAAATTGACAAATGGGATCTAATTAAACTAAAGAGCTTCTGCACAGCAAAAGAAACTATCATCAGAGTGAACAGGCAACCTACAGAGTGAGAGAAAACTTTTGCAAGCTACCCATCTGACAAGGGCTAATATCCAGAATCTACAAAGAACTTAAACAAATTTACAAGAAAAAAAAAACTCCATCAAAAAGTGAGCGAAGGATATGAACAGTCACTTCTCAAAAAAAGACATTTATGTGGCCAATAAACATATGAAAAAAAGCTCATCATCACTGGTTATTAGAGAAATGCAAATCAAAACCACAATGAGATACCATCTCATGACAGTTAGAATGGCGATTATTAAAAAGTCTGGACACAACAGATGCTGGAGAGAATGTGGAGAAATAGGAACTCTTTTACACTGTTGGTGGGAGTGTAAATTAGTTCAACCATTGTGGAAGACAGTGTGGCAATTCCTCAAGGATCTAGAACCAGAAATACCATTTGAACCAGCAATCCCATTACTGGGTATATACTCACAGAATTATAAATCATTCTACTATAGAGATATATGCACATGTATGTTTATTGCAGCACTATTCACCATAGCAAAGACTTGGAACCAACCGAAATGCCCATCGGTGATAAACTGGATAAAGAAAATGTGGCACATATACACAAAGGAATACTATGTGGCCATAAAAAAGAATGAGTTTATGTCCTTTGCAGGGACATGGATGAAGCTGGATGCCATCATTCTCAGCAAACTAACACAGAAACAGAAAACCAAATACCTCATGTTCCCACTCAATTGGGTTTTGAACAATGAAAACACGTTGACACAGAGAGGGGGACATCACACACCAGGGCCTGTCAGGGGTTGAGGGGCAAGGGGACAGAGAGCATTAGGACAAAAACCTAATGCATGCAGGGCTTAAAACCTAGATGACAGGTTGATAGGTGCAGCAAACCACCATGGTACATGTATACCTATGTAACAAACATGCATGTTCTGCACATGTATCCCAGAACTTAAAGTATAACAAAAAAATAAAGAAATAAAGAGTCTTGCTCAGGCTACAGTATGGAGACTGGATTGTAGGGGAGCAAGACTGAAATTGCAGAGACAAATTGGGTGTCTTTTGACTAGTCCATGCAAAAAAGTGATCTGATGGTGGTTTGAACTAAGACCGTGGAAATGGGGATAGAAAGACCTTGACAGATTGAAAGAACATTCTGGTAGCTTGGAATATACCTTTACAAAGGGATATGAAGTCAATGTGATTCCATCTGCAAGGATAGATCAGTAATGTAAGAAAAGAAATGGAAATTCAAAGAAAGAACAAAAAAGAAATGCTAGAAATCAAGAACACTGTAACATAAATTAAGAATGTTTTCAGTGGATTTATTAGCAGTCTGGAAAGAGCTGAGAGAAGAATCATTGAGCTTTAGGATATGAAAATTCAAACACCAAGAATTAAACAGCAAGGAGTAAAAGACTGAAAAGGCTGAACAGAGTACCCAAGAACTGTGGAACAGCCACAAGATCTGTAAGATGCATGTTAATGGTAATACCAGAAAAAGAGGAAGACAAAAAGAAAAATAAGAAACATTTGAAGCAATAAGGACTGAGAATTTCTCAAAATTAATCTCAGACACCAAATCACAGATCCAGGAATCTAAGTGACCAAGCAGGACAAATGCCAGAAAAAAAAATCTACACCTATGCATATAATATTGGAACTACAGAAAATCAACAACAGATAAAAAGTCTTAAAAGAAGCCAGAGGGGGGGGAAATACCTATGGAGAAACAAGGGTAAAAATTACATTAGACTTCTTTTCATGTACCATGAAGGCAAGAAAAGAATAGAGTGACAGATTTCAAGTGGAAAGAGAAAGAAAACACCAACCTTGAATTCTGTATTCAGCAAAATAATCCTTCAAAAGTGAAGGAGAAATAAAGATTTTCTCAGACACAAAGGAACTATTAAGAAAATTTGCCACCAGTAGACCTGCCTTGCTAAAAATGTTGTCTTTTTGCTTTTTTAATATTTTTATTTTTTTAGAGACAAGGTCTCACTCTGTTGCCCATGCTGGAGTGCACTAGTGCAACTTTGGCTCACTGCAGCCTCAACCTCCTGGGTTTAAACAGTACTCCCATTTCAGCCGCCTGAGTAGCTGAGGATACAAGCTCATAATATTACATCCAGCTAATTTTATTTTTTGTGGAGAAGGAGTCTCAATATGTTGCCCAGGCTGGTCTTAAACTCCTGGGCTCAAGTGATCTTCCTGTCTCAGCCTCCCAAAGAGCTGGGATTACAGGCATAAGCCACTATGTTCAGCCCTTGCTAGAAATGTTTTAAAACCTCCTTTAGAAAAAAAGAAGATTATATAGGTCTGATATGGTTTGGCTCTGTGTCCCCATCCAAATCTCATCTCAAATGTCAATCCCTATTTGTGAGGGGAGGGGCCTAGTAAGGGGTGATTGAATCATGGAGGCCAACCTCCCCCTTGATGTTCTCATGATAGTGAGTTCTTATGAGATCTAATTGTTTGAAAGTGTGTAAATTTCCCCCTTTGCTCTCTCTCTCTGTTTCTCCATTATGGTAAGACGTGCTTGCTTCCCCTTCACATTTCACCATAATTGGAATGTAAGGCCCCCCAGTCATGATTCCTGCTAAGCCTATGGAACTGTGAGTCAATTAAACCTCTTTTGTTCATAAATTACTTAGTCTCAGTTAGTCCTTCATAGCACTGTGAGAATGGAATAATACAGAAAATTGGTTCAATAGTAGGGTACTGCTATAATGATACTTGAAAATGTGGAAGGTACTTTTGAACCACATAATGGGCAGAGGTTGGAGCAGTTTGGAGGGCTCCAAAGAAGACAGGAAGATGTGGGAATGTTTGAAACTTCCTAGAGACTTGTTGAATGGTTTTGACAAAAATGCAGAGTGATATGGGCATTGAAGTCCAGGCTGAGGTGGTCTCAGATGAAGATGAGAACTTATTGGGAACTGGAGTAAAAGTCACTTTTCCTATGCTTTAGCAAACAGACTGGCAGCATTGTGCCCCTGCCCTAGAGATCTGTGGAACTATGAAATTGAGAGAGATGATTTAGGGTATGTGGTGAAAAAAAATTCTAAGCAGCAAAGCATTCAAGATGTAATCTGGCTGTTCCTGAAAGTGTACACTCTTGTGTGTGAACAAAGAGATTATCTGAAACTAGAGTTTATATTTAAAAGAGAAGCAGAGCAGAAAAATTTGAAAAATTTGCAGCCCAGCCATGTGGCAAAAAAGAAAAACCCAATTTCTAAGGAAAAATTCAAGCTGGCTGCAGAAATTTGCATAAGTAAAGAAGAGTCAAATGTGAATATTCAAGAAAATAGGAAAAATATCTCCAGGGCATGCCACTGACCTTCACAGCAGCCCCTCCCATCACAGGCCCAGAGGCCTAGGAGGAAAAAATGATTTTATGGGCCAGGTCCAGGGCCCCACTGCTCTGTGCTGCCTTGAGACACGGTGCCATGTGTCCCAGCCACTCCAGCTCCAGCTCCTTAAAAGGGGACAAGGTACAGCTCATGCCACTGTTTCAGAGGGTGCAACCCCGAAGCCTTGGTGGCTTCCACATGTTATTGGGCCTGTGGGTACACAGAAGGCAAGAGTTTGGGAGCCTCCACTTAGATTTCAGAGAATATATGGAAATGCCTTGATGTCTAGGCAGAAGTCTGCTGTAGAGACAGAGCCCTCATGAAGAACCTCTACTATGGCCATGCAGAAGGAAAATATGGAGTTGGGAACCCCACACAAAGTCCCCAGTGGGGCACTGACCAGGGGAGCTGTGAGAAGAGGGCCACCATCCTCCAGACCCCAGAACAGTAGATCCACCAACAGCTTGCACTATGCACCTGGAAAAGCCATCAGCACTCAACACCAGCCCATGAAAGCAACCATGGGGTCTGTACCCTGCAGAGTCACAGGGGCAGAGCTGCCCAAGGCATTGGGAGCCCACACATTGAATCAATGTGACCTGAATGTGAGAAATGGAGTCAAAGGAGATTATTTTGGAGCTTTAAGATTTAATGAATGCCCCTCGGTGTTTTGGTCTTGCAAGGGGCCTGTGGTCCCTTCATTTTGGCCAATTTCTCCCATTTGAAATGGGAGCATTCACCCAATGCCTGTATCCCCACTGTATCTTGGAAGTAACTAACTTGCTTTTGATTTTGCAGGCTCATAGGCAGAAGGGACTTGCCTTGTTTCAGATGAGACTTTGGACTTCAACTTTTGGGTTAATGCTGGAATGAGTTAAGACTTTGGGGGACTGTTGGGAAGACATGATTGTGTTTTGAAATGTGAAAAGGACATGAGATTTGGTAGGTGCCAGGGGCAGAATTATATGGTTTAGATGTCCCTACCCAAATTTCATCTCAAATTGTAATTTCTACATGTTGGTGGAGGGATCTGGTGGGAAGGGATTGAATCATGGAGGCAGACTTCCCCCTTTCTGTTCTCATGATAGTGAGTGAGTTTCATGGTTTCATGAGTTTTGGTTGTTTGAAAGTGTGTGGCACTTCACCCTTCACCTTCTCCTTCTCCTGCTCCACCATGGTAAGACATGCTTTCTTCCTCTTTGCCTTCTGCCATGATTGCAAGTTTCCTGAGGCCTCCAGTCATGCTTCCTGTTAAGCCTGTGAAACTGTGAGTCAATTAAGTCTCTTTTGTTCATAAATTACTCAGTCTCAGTTAGTTCTTCATAGCAGTGTGAGAATAGAATAACACAATGTCAGAAACCAAAATCTACATAAAGAAAGAGCATTAGAGGAAAAATGAATGAATGTAAAAATTAAATGTTTATTTTTTCTATTCTAAGTGATCCAACAGATAACAGCTTATGCAAAATAATAATAGCAATAATATATTTTATTATTGTAGCTTGAAATGCATGTCAGCAATGATGCAAGATACGAGAGAGAGGAATTCAAAATATTTTGTAATAAGTTACTTGCACCACCCTTGAAGTGCTATAGTATTTTTCAAAAGTGGATTTGGATTAGTTGTAAATGTATACAGTGAATTTCATGGCAACAACTTAAAACATTTTTTTTAATTAAAAAGGTATAATTGATATACCAAGTAAAGAGAAAAATTGAATCTCAAAAAATGCACAATTAAAATCAAAGGCAGAAAGAGTGGAAGAGAGAAACAAAAAATAGGAGCAACAAATACAAAACAGTAAAAAAATATGGTAGACATTAAGCCAACTATGTCAACAATTTCTTTAACCATCAGTAGTCTAAATGCACTAATTAAAAGACGAAATTGGAAATCCTAGCCAAAGCAATCAGGCAAGAAAAAAAAAAGGCATCCAAATAGGAAGAGAGAAAGTGAAACTATATTTCTTCACAGATGATATAATTCTACACCTAGAAAGCCATATAAACTCTTCCAAAAGGCCCCTAGAACTAATAAATGTCTTCAGTAAACTTTCAGGATGCAAAACCAATGCACAAAAATCAGTAGCATTTGTATACACTAATAACATCCAAGCTGAGAGCCAAGTCACAAGTTACATCCCATTTACAATAGCCACGAAAAGAATATAATACCTAGGAATACCACTAACCAGGGAGGTTAAAGATCTCTACAATGAGAATCACAAAACACTGATTAAAGAAATCATAGATGACATGAGCAAATGGAAAAACATTCCATGCTGATGGATAGGAAGAATCAATATTGTTAAAATGGTCACATGGCCAAAAGCAACTTACAGATTCAATGCTGTTCCTATCATTCTACAATAGTCATTTTTAACAGAATTAGAAAAAAACTATTCTAAAATTCATATGGAACCAAAAAAAGAGCAGGAATAGCCAAAGCAATGCTAACCAAGAAGAATGAAGCTGGCAGCATCACACTACTCAACTTCAAACTATACCACAAAACTACAGTAACCAAAATAGCTGGTATTGTTACAGTAGGTAGTCAGGCAGACATGAGCAAGGCAGGAGAGGTCTCCCCCACCATCAAGAGGGTCAGGCAACCATCAAATTATGCTAAGGTGGTCATTACACTGTTTCTCTAAAATAATAATTGGTCACAGCTGGAGCCAGGAAAAGGCAGCCTCCCAATAGGTAGGAAACACCTAAAGTTGATGATCAGTGGCTTGCTGATAAGATCTCAGGAGTTGGGTGAGTGGGCTGAAGCATGTGCATTAAGAGGCAAAATGACAGAGTTTAACTGGTATGTGATCTCCCTCTGGAAACACTCAACTGGTAAGGGAAGAATGCCTCAAGTAAGCATGTGCACAATTTCAGTAAACACACTGCCCACACAGCACCTCCCAAGTGCTGGCAGGCCACCGTGCCTGTAGAAAGCCCACCCCAAGGGAAGAATCAGGGGAGAAGGGATACAACCCTCCCACCCGAGAAGCATGCCAAGGTATGAAACCCCAAGTTAAAGGTCAAACCATGCACTTTATCTCTCAACTAACCCGTGTGGCCCTCTTTGAAGTATACTATACTTCCTTTGATTCCACTCTAATACTTTTTAATAATGTTTCGCTCCTGTTCTAAAACCTGCCTTGGTCTCTCACTCTGCCTTTTGCCTCTCAGTTAAACTCTTTCTTCTAAAGAGTCAAGAATTGAGGTTGCTGCAGACCTGTACAGATTCATCTGCCACTAACACTAGCAGTGAAAAAAAACAGACAAAGACCAATGGAAGAGAGGAGAGAACCCAGAAAAAAGCCACACACCTACAATCATCTGATCTTTGACAAAGTCAAGAGTAACAAGCAATGTGGCAAGGATTCTCTATTCAACAAATGGTCCTGGGATAACTGGCTAGCCATATACAGAAGATTGAAACTGGACCCCTTAACTCAAGACAGATCAAAGACTTAAATACAAAACCTTTAAAAGCTATGAAATATTGAGGCCATTCCAAGATTGCCGAATAGGAACAGCTCCAGTCTACAGCTCCCAGCGTGAGCGACATAGAAGATGGGTGATTTCTGCATTTCCAACAGAGGTGCCGGGTTCATCTCACTGGGGCTTCTCAGACTGTGGGGACAGGACAGAGGGTACAGCCCACCAAGCATGAGCCAAAGCAGGGAGAGACATCACCTCACCAGGGAAGAGCAAGGGATCAGGGAATTCCCTTTCCTAGTCAAGGGAAGTGGTGATGGATGTCACCTGGAAAATCAGGTCACTCCCGCCTTAATACTGTGCTTTTCCAACGGTCTTAGCAAACAGCACACCAGGAGATTTTATCCCTCACCTGGCTCAGATACTCCCATGCCCATGGAGTCATGCTCATTTCTAGCACAGCAGTCTGAGATCAAACTGGAAGCTCGAAACAGGAGGAGCCCACTGCAGCTCAAGGAGGCCTGCCTGCCTCTGTAGACTCCACCTCTGGGGGCAGGGCGTAGCCAAACAAAAGGCAGCAGAAACCTCTGCAGACTTAAATGTCCCCATCTGACAGCTTTGAAGAGAGTAGTGGTTTTCCCAGCATGGAGTTTGAGATCTGACAATGGACAGACTGCCTCCTTAAGTGGGTCCCTGACCCCCCAGTAGGGGCAGACTGACACCTCAAATGGCCGGGTACCTCTCTGAGATGAAGTTTCCAGAGGAATGATCAGGCAGCAACATTTGCTGTTCAGCAATATTTGATGTTCTGCAGCTCTGCTGCTGATACCCAGGCAAACAGGGTCCAGAGTGGACATCCAGCAAACTCCAACAGACCTGCAGCTGAGGTTCCTGACTGTTAGAAGGAAAACTAATGAACAGAAAGGACACCCACACCAAAACTCCATCTGTACGTCACCATCATCAAAGACCAAAGGTAGATAAAACCACAAAGATGGGGAAAAAACAAAGCAGAAAAGCTGAAAATTCTAAAAATCAGAGTGCCTCTCCCCCTCCAAAGGAATGCAACTCCTTGCCAGCAACAGAACAAAGCTGGACAGAGAATGAGTTTGACGAGTGGACAGAAGAAGGCTTCAGATGATCAAACTTCTCCAAGCTAAAGGAGGAAGTTTGAACCCTTCGCAAAGAAGCTAAAAACCTTGAAAAAAGAGTAGACGAATGGCTAACTAGAATAACTAGTGTAGAGGAGTCCTTAAATGGCCTGATGGAGCTGAAAACAATGGCATGAGAACTACATGACACATGGACAAGTGTCAGTAGCCAATTGATCAACTGGAATAAAGGGTATCAGTGATTTAAGATCAAATGAATGAAATGAAGCAAGAAGAGAAATTTAGAGAAAAAAGAGGAAAAAGAAACAAACAAAGCCTTCAAGAAATATGGGACTATTTGAAAAGACAAAATCTACATCTGATTGGTGTACCTGAAAGTGATGGGGAGAATGGAACCGAGTTGGAAAACACATTGCAGGATATTATCCAGGAGAACTTCCCCAATCTAGCAAGGCAGGCCAACATTCAAATTCAGGAAATACAGAGAAAACCACAAAGATACTCCTCAAGAAGAGCAACTCCAAGACACATAATTGTCAGATTCACCAAAGTTGAAATGAAGGAAAAAATCTTAAGAGCAGCCAGAGAGAAAGGTCGGGTTACCCACAAAGGGAAGCCCATCACACTAACAGCTGATATCTTGGCAGAAACTCTAGAAGCCAGAAGAGAGTGGGGGCCAATATTCAACATTCTTAAAGAAAAGAATTTTCAACCTAGAATTTCATATCCAGCCAAACTAAGCTTCATAAGTAAAGAAGAAATAAAATATTTTACAGACAAGCAAATGCTGAGAGATTTTGTCACCAACAGGCCTGCCCCTAAAAGAGCTCCTGAAGGAAGCACTAAACATGGAAAGGAACAACCGGTACCAGCCATTGGAAAAGCATGCCAAATTGTAAACACCACTGATGCTAGGAAGAATCTGCATCAACTAACGAGCAAAATAACCAGCTGACATCATAATGACAGGATCAAATTCACACATAACAATATTAAACTTAAACATAAATAGGCTAAATGCTCCAATTAAAGGACACAGACTGGCAAATTGGATAGAGTCAAGACACGTCAGTGTGCTGTATTCAGGAAAAACATCTCACGTGCAGAGAAACACATAGGCTCAAACTAAAGGGATGGAGGAAGATCTACCAAGCCAATGGAAAACAAAAAAAGGCAGGTGTTGCAATCCTAGTCTCTGATAAAACAGACTTTAAAACAACAAAGATCAAAAGAGACAAAGAAGGCCATTACATAATGGTAAAGAGTTCATTCAACAAGAAGAGCTAACTATCCTTAACATATATGCACCCAATATGGGAGCACACAGATTCATAAAGCAAGTCCTTAGTGACCTACAAAGAGACTTAGACTCCCACACAATAATAATGGGAGACATTAACACCCCACTGTCAACATTAGACAGATCAACGAGACACAAAGTTAACAAGGATATCCTGGAATTGAACTCAGCTGTGAACCAAGCAGACCTAATAGACATCTACAGAACTCTCCAACACAAATCAACACAATATACATTCTTTTCAGTACCTCATCGCACTTATTCCAAAATTGACCATATAGTTGGAAGTAAAGCACTCCTCAGCAAATGTAGAAGAACAGAAGTTATAACAAACTGTCTCTCAGACCACAGTGCAATAAAACTAAAACTCAGGATTAAGAAACTTACTCAAAACTGCTCAACTACATGGAAACTGAACAATCTGCTCCTGAATGACTACTGGGTACATAAAAAAACGAAGGCAGAAATAAAGATGTCCTTTGAAACCAATGAGAACAAAGACACAATATACCAGAATCTCTGGGACACAATCAAAGCAGTGTGTAGGGGGAAATTTATAGCACTAAAAGCCCACAGGAGAAAGCAGGAAAGATCTAAAATTGACACCCTAACATCACAAATAAAAGAACTAGAGAAGCAAGAGCAAACACATTCAAAAGCTGGCAGAAGGCAAGAAATAACTAAGATCAGAGCAGAACTGAAGGAGAAAGAAACACAAAAAACCCTTCAAAAAATCAGTGAATCCAGGAGCTGGTTTTTTGAAAAGATCAACAAAATTAATAGACTGCTACCAAGACTAATAAAGAAGAAAAAAGAGGAGAATCAAATAGACACAATAAAAAATGATAAAGGGGATATCACCACCGATCCCACAGAAATACAAACTACCATTAGAGAATACCATAAACACCTCTATGCAACTAAACTAGAAAATCTAGAAGAAATGGATAAATTCCACGACACACACATCCTCCCAAGACTAAACTAGGAAGAAGTCGAATCTCTGAATAGACCAATAACAGGCTCTGAAATTGAGGCAATAATTCATAGCTTACCAACCAAAAGAAGTCCAGGACAAGACGGATTCATTTGAAATGAAAGGACTCCTCCCTCACTCATTTTATGAGGCCAGCATCATCCTGATACCAAAGCCTGACAGAGACACAAAAAAAAGAGAATTTTAGACCAATATCCCTGATGAACATCAATGCAAAAATCCTCAATAAAATACTGGCAAACAGAATGCAGCAGCATATCAAAAAGCTTATCCACCATGATCAAGTGGGCTTCATCCCTGGGATGCAAGGCTGGTTCAACATATGCAAATCAATAAACATAATCCAGCACATAAACAGAACCAAAGACAAAAAGCACATGATTATCTCAATAGATGCAGAAAAGGCCTTTGACAAAATTCAACAGCACTTCATGCTAAAAACCCTCAATAAATTAGGTATTGATGGGACATACCTCAAAATAAAAAGAGCTATTTATGACAAACCCACAGCCAACATCATACTGAATGAGCAAAAACTAGAAGCATTCCCTTTGAAAACTGGCACAAGACAGGGTTGCCCTCTCTCACCACTCCTATTCAACATAGTGTTGGAAATTCTGGCCAGAGCAATCAGGCAGGAGAAAGAAATAAAGGGTATTCAATTAGGAAAAGAGGAAGTCAAATTTTCCCTGTTTGCAGATGACATGATTGAATATTTAGAAAACCCCATCATCTCAGCCCAACATCTCCTTAAGCTGATAAGCAACTTCAGCAAAGTCTCAGGATACAAAATCAATGTACAAAAATCACAATCATTCTTATTCACCAACAACAGACAGAGAGCCAAATCATGAGTGAACTCCCATTCACAATTGCTTCAAAGAGAATAAAATACCTAGGAATCCAACTTACAAGGGACGTGAAGGACCTCTTCAGTGAGAACTACAAACCACTGCTCAACGAAATAAAAGAGGACAGAAACAAATGGAAGAACATTCCATGCTCATGGGTAGGAAGAATCAATATCGTGAAAATGGCCATACTACCCAAAGTAATTTATAGATTCAATGCCTTCCCCATCAAGCTACCAATGACTTTCTTCACAGAGTTGGAAAAAACTACTTTGAAGTTCATATGGAACCAAAAAAGGGCCCAAATTGCCAAGACAATCCTAAGCCAAAAGAACAAAGCTGGAAGCCTCACGCTACCTGACTTCAAACTATACTACAAGGCTATAGTAAACAAAACAGCATGGTACTGGTACCAAAACAGAGATATAGACCAATGGAACAGAGCAGAGCCCTCAGAAATAACATCACACATCTACAACCATCTTATCTTTGACAAACCTGACAAAAACAAGAAATGGGGAAAGGATTCCCTATTTAATAAATGGTGCTGGGAAAACTGGCTAGCCACAGGTAGGAAGCTGAAACTGGATCCCTTCCTTACACCTTATACAAAAATTAATTCAAGATGGATTAAGGACTTACATGTTAGACCTAAAACCATAAAATTTCTAGAAGAAAACCTAGGCAATACCATTCAGGACATAGGCATGTGCAAGGACTTCATGTCTAAAACACCAAAAGCAATGGCAACAAAAGCCAAAATTGACAAATGGGATCTAATTAAACTCAAGAGCTTCTGCACAGCAAAAGAAACTACCATCAGAGTGAACAGGCAACCTACAGAATGGGAGAAAAATTTTGCAATCTACTCATCTGACAAAGGGCTAATATCCAGAATCTACAATGAACTCAAATTTAAAAGAAAAAAACAGACAATCCCATCAATAAGTGGGTGAAGGATATGAACAGACACTTCTCAAAAGAAGAGGTTTATGCAGCCAACAGACACATGAAAAAATGCTCAACCTTCCTGGCCATCAGAGAAATGCAAATCAAAACCACAAGGAGATACCATCTCACACCAGTTAGAATGGCGATCATTAAAAAGTCAGGAAAAAACAGGTGCTGGAGAGGATGTGGAGAAATAGGAATGCTTTTACACTGTTGGTGGGAGTGTAAACTAGTTCAACCATTGTGGAAGATAGTGTGCTGATTCCTCAAGCATCTAGAACTAGAAATACCATTTGACCCAGCCATCCCATTACTGGGTATATACCCAAAGGAATATAAATCATGCTGCTATAAAGACACATGCACATGTATGTTTGTTGTGGCACTATTCACAATAGCAAAGACTTGGAACCAACCCAAATGTCCATCTATGATAGACTAGATTAAGAAAATGTGGCACATACATACCATGGAATACTATGCAGCCATAAAAAAGAATGAGTTCATGTCTTTGTAGGGACATGGATGAAGCTGGAAACCATCATTCTCAGCAAGCTATTGCAAGGACAAAAAACCAAACACCACATGTTCTCACTCATAGGTGGGAATTGAACAATGAGAACACATGGACACAGGAAGGGGAACATCACACACCAGGGCCTATCATGGGATGGGGGTAGGGGGGAGGGATAGCATTAGGAGATATACCTAATGTTAAATGACGAGTTAATGGGTGCAGCACACCAACATGGCGCATGTTTACTTATGTAACAAACCTGCACATTGTGCACCTGTACCCTAGAACTTAAGGTATAGTAATGAAAAAAAAAAAAGCTACAAAATATTATTCTTGACATTGGCCTTAGCAAAGAATTTGTCACTAAATCCCCAAAAGCAACCGCAACAAAAATAAAAATTAACAAGTTAGACCTAATTAAACTAAAGTGCTTCTGCACAGCAAAAGATACTATCAAGGAGTACCAAGAGGGCTGATTAGAAGTAGCTAGTGTGCACCACTCACAGAGAGGAGAATGAGTGGAAAATGCACACTAGCTCTTCAACTGGATCATCTAGGTGGAAACGTTGAGATTCATCAGGGAAGCAACACGACTCACAGAGGACAGAGAAAAGTGAGACAGGACAGATGCCCAACCAGGTTTGGCATGGAGCCAAGAGAGGCTCCCTACTGTGGGGAAACAGTGAGTGAGTGAGAGCCCTCAGGGACCCACACTGCTGCCATGGGCCTTCCCAACTCTGAGCCCAGGAGATTTCCTCTCCCCCACCACGAGGTTATCCAGATGACATGGAGAGCTGTGTGCAGTCTGGGCAGAGCTGCCACTCAAGCCCACATGAAATCCCAGAGGCATTGGACCCCTGGGCACCCTGGCACAAGCAGCTGCAGTTCTGACAATGGGGGAGGCGAGGGTCCCTGGTAAACCCCCAGGATATGGGCTGAATCCATGGGGCTGAGAAGCACACAGACTGCAGGTCTCAACACCACTGCACCTTGCCAGACAAGGCCTACTGGTCTTGGTCCCTAGCACGGCCACCTCAGCCCTGCCTGAGGTCTCGGGACAGTAGCAGCCCCACACTTCCCTGAGATGGAGCTCCAAGTGGTAGCAGGTAGGCCTGCCAGTTTTACTGCTCCCCACTCCTGCTGCCCTCAGGCTCGGGAGGGAGCAAAGAGATAATGTATTAAGGAGAGTACATCTGTCAGCACAGTACATCTGCCTCATGGGAAAATGGCCAGACTATTTTCCATAGTCCCTTCTACTCCTCACTGGGCAGGGTCTCCCAATCTTGGACCCCAGCCAACACACTCCCATCTGGGCCTTCCGATTGATAGCAGCTATGCACTTCCCTGGCATGGAGTTCCCAGTAGTAGCAGGTAGGCCTGGCAGTTGCTGCACAGCAGCTCCTGTGCCTGCTGCCCTGAGGCTCAGGATGAAGCAAAAAGACTAAAGACTCATGTAAGCCTCCACCACAACTCAGGTACCTTATGGAAAAGTGGCCAGTTTTTCACGCATTTCCCTGCACTCGTTACTCCTCACTGGGCAGGGCCTCTCAACCTGGGGCACCAGCACAACCACCCTGCCACTACCCAAACACTTCAGTTGCTGGTGGTTCTGTGTTTCTCTGGGGAGGAAATCCCAGAGACAACCCACAGGCCCTCTTCCATTGTAACTGCAGTGTTACCACCCTTATTGTCCTCAAGCTGGTGGAGGAACACACTGGCCGGTGATGTCACTGGCACCTCCAGCACACCACAGCCACTATAAGGGGAGGAGCCCAGACTATCTTTCTTATGAGTCACTGCTCCCTACCCTTCACCAGGCAGGGCCCCCAGCTGAGGACCACAGAGCAGCTGTCCCACCCCAGACTAAGCATTCCCACTGGCAGTGAAATTGTGTTTCCCTGGGATGAAGCTCCCTGTGACAAATGACAGCCCCACCACCACCACTGCCACAGCAGCAGTTTTGCCCTTGCTGCCCTTAGACTGGGGAAAGAAGGAAGAGCCTAATGGTTTTACTCCTGTCTCCAGCACACAACCATCACCATACAGAGAGGAGCCCAGTCTCTCTTTCCTATGAGCCTCTAGCCCCCTGCTCTTCACCAAGTAGAGCCCCTGGCTCATGCCTACAGTGTAGTTACTCCACCCCCTTGCTGAACATTCCTATTGGCAGAGGCTCTGCATTTCTCTAAGGTGGATCTCCCAGAGACAACTGAAAGCCCCTTTGCCACTGGCACTGCCACTCCAGGGGTACCACCTGTATTAGTCCATGCTCACACTGCTATAAAGAACTACCTGAGACTAGGTAATCTATAAACAAAAGAGGGCTAATTGACTCACAGTCTCACAGGCCTAACAGGAAATATGACTGGGAGGCTTCAGGAAACTTACAGTCATGGTGGAAGGTGAAGGGGAAGCAAGCACATCTTACCATGGTGGAACAGAAGAAAGAGAGATAACTAAAGGGGAAGTGCCACACACTTTCAAACAATCAGATCTCATGAGAACTCACTCACTGTCATGAGAACAGCAAGAGGGAAGTCCATCCTCACGATTAAATTATTTCCCTCCAGGACCCTCCCTTGACATGTGGGAATTACAATTTGTGATGAAATTTGAGTGGGAACACACAGCCAATTAATATCATTGCCCTTGCTATTCTCAGACTAGGGGAAAAAAACAAAAATCTGAGTGCTTTACTCACACCTCCAGCACACCAGAGCCACCTAAAAAGAAGACGCCAGTCTGTCTTCCCAATGAGCCTCTGCCCCTGCTGTTTGTCACCAGGAAAGGGTTCTGCATTGGGCCCACAGTGCAGCCACCTCATTCTGAGCCAATCACTACAGTTGGCAGTGACTCTGCATTTCTCTAAGACAGATCCCCAAGAGACAAGTAAAAGGCCTTCTGTCATTGCTACTGCCAAGGTCCCTGTGTCTGCTGCTCTCAAGTTGAGGAGGAAAGACAAAATCTGAGCTTGCCCCAGGGCTCTGATGTGCAGCCTGGGAGTGCAAAGCTAAAATCTGTAGCCAGCACTCAAGTGGCAAAGGAGCCTACACTCTCAGATCACTGTCAGGAAGCACAGCTACAAATGCAAAGAAATACAGGGGAGACACGTGGTTAAGCAAGAGCCTTCCTACTGGCCATTACATTTAACCACCACCTACTGGTTAACAGCCCAAACTGCAACACCAAAAATATTTTGCTAATATACACCCTGTGAAACCAAGGACAAGTATTCAGGTAAAAAAACAGACCCTGCACAAAGCCTCAGCCCTTAGAAAACATGCAGAAATGAAGCCAATTGACTACACTCAAGTTACATCACAGTAAAAGAACACCAGCCCATCCAGGTAACAAAGAACCAGTGCAAGGACTCTGGTAACTCAAAAAGCCAGATTCTCTTCTTACATTCAGATGACTGCACTAGTTACCCAGCAATGATTCTTAACCAGTCTGAAATGGCTGAAATGACAGATATAGAAGTTAGAAAATGGATAGAAATGAAGATCATCAACATTCAGGAGAGAATTGAAGCCCAATCCAAGGAATCCAATGCAAAAAAAAAAGATTCAGGAGATAGAAGACAAAATGGCAATTTTTAGAAGGAACAAAACAGATCTGATCAAGCTGAAAAACTTACTTCAAGAATTCCATGATACAATCCCAAATATTAACTGCCAAATTGACTAAGTTGAGGAAAGAATCTCAGAGCTTGAAAACTGGTTCTCTGAAATAAATCAGTAAGACAAAAATAAAGAAAAAAAACAGTAAAGAAGAATAAAGAAAATCTCTGAGAAATATGGGATTATGTAAAGACACCAAATCTGTGACTCATTAGTGTCCCCGAAAGAGAAGGATAAAAAGCAAGCAAATTGGAAAACGTGTTTGAGGATATTATCCACAAAAACTTTCTCAATCTCACCAGAGAGGTCAACATTCAAATTCAGAAAATGCATGGAATCCCCACAAGATACAATACAACATGATCATCCCTGAGACACAGAGCCATCAGATTTTCCAAGGTCAAAATGAAAGAAAAAATATTAAAGGCAGCTATAGAGAAGGGGCAGGTCACCTACAAAGGGAATCCCATTAAGCTAACAGTGGACCATTCAGCAGAAACCCTACAAGTCAGAAGAAATTGGGAAACCTATATTCAACATTCTTAAAACAAAGAAATTCCAACTAAGAATTTCATATGCAGTCAAACTAAGTTTCATAAGTGAAGGAGAAATAAGATTATTTTTAGAAACGCAAATGCTAAAGGAATGTATTACCACAAGATCTGCCTTACAAGAGGTCCTGAAGGGAGTGCTAAATATGGACAGGAAAGACCATTACCAGCTACCACAAAACCATACTTAACTACATAGACCTTTGACACAGTAAAGCAATAACACAATCAAGTCTACATAATAACCAGCTAACAACAAAACGACAGCAGCAAACCCACAAATACCAATACTAACTTAGAAAATAAACCAGCTATATGCCTCAATTAAATGGAACAGAGTGGCAACTGTATGCTGTCTTCCAAAGACCCATCTCACATGCAATGACACCCATAGGCCTAAAGTAAAAGTATGGGGAAAAATCAACCATGCAAATGGAAAACAGAAAAAGCAAAGGTCACTGTTATAGTTTCAGACAAACCAGACATGAAACCAAAAAAGATGAAAAAAGACAAAGAAGGGCTTTACATAATGATAAAGGTTTCAATTAATCAAGAAGGCATAACTATTCTAAGTATATGTGTACCAAACACAAACACAGGAACATCCAGATTCATAAAATAAATTCTTAGAGACCAGGCTCTCCCTCTCCCTCTCCCTCTCCCTCTCCCTCTCCCTCTCCCTCTCCCTCTCCCTCTCCCTCTCCCTCTCCCCACGGTCTCCCTCTCCCCACGGTCTCCCTCTCCCTCTCTTTCCACGGTCTCCCTCTGATGCCGAGCCGAAGCTGGACTGTACTGCTGCCATCTCGGCTCACTGCAGCCTCCCTGCCTGATTCTCCTGCCTCAGCCTGCCGAGTGCCTGCGATTGCAGGCAAGCCGCCACGCCTGACTGGTTTTCATATTTTTTTGGTGGAGACGGGGTTTCACTGTGTTGGCCGGGCTGGTCTCCAGCTCCTAACCGTGAGTGATCCGCCAGCCTCGGCCTCCCGAGGTGCCGGGATTGCAGACGGAGTCTCGTTCACTCAGTGCTCAGTGGTGCCCAGGCTGGAGTGCAGTGGCGTGATCTCGGCTCGCTACAACCTCCACCTCCCAGCCGCCTGCCTTGGCCTCCCAAAGTACCGAGATTGCAGCCTCTGCCCGGCACCACCCCATTTGAGAAGTGAGGAGCGTCTCCGCCTGGCTGCCCATCGTCTGGGATGTGAGGAGCCCCTCTGCCTGGCTGCCCAGTCTGGAAAGTGAGGAGCGTCTCTGCCCGGCCGCCATCCCATCTAGGAAGTGAGGAGCGCCTCTTCCTGGCCGCCATCCCATCTAGGAAGTGAGGAGGGTCTCTGCCCCGCCACCCCGTCTGGGATGTGAGGAGCGCCTCTGCCCGGATGCCCCGTCTGAGAAGTGAGGAGACCCTCTGCCTGGCAACTGCCCCGTCTGAGAAGTGAGGAGCCCCTCCGCCCGGCAGCTGCCCCGTCTGAGAAGTGAGGAGCCCCTCCGCCTGGCAGCCACCCCGTCTGGGAAGTGAGGAGCTTCTCCGCCTGGCAGCTGCCCAGTCCGGGAGGGAGGTGGGGGGGGTCAGCCCCCCGCCCGGCCAGCCGCCCCGTCTGGGAGGGAGGTGGGGGGGTCAGCCCCCCGCCCGGCCAGCTGCCCTGTCTGGGAGGGAGGTGGGGGTGGTCAGCCCCCCGCCCGGCCAGCTGCCCCATCTGGGAGGGAGGTGGGGGGGTCAGCCCCCCACCCGGCCAGCCACCCCGTCTGGGAGGTGAGGGGTGCCTCTGCCCGGCCACCCCTACTGGGAAGTGAGGAGCCCCTCTGCCCGGCCACCACCCCGTCTGGGAGGTGTACCCAACAGCTCATTGAGAACGGGCCATGACGACAATGGCGGTTTTGTGGAATAGAAAGGGGGGAAAGGTGGGGAAAAGATTGAGAAATCGGATGGTTGCTGTGTCTGTGTAGAAAGAAGTAGACATGGGAGACTTTTCATTTTGGTCTGTACTAAGAAAAATTCTTCTGCCTTGGGATCCTGTTGATCTGTGACCTTACCCCCAACCCTGTGCTCTCTGAAACATGTGCTGTGTCCACTCAGGGTTAAATGGGTTAAGGGTGGTGCAAGATGTGCTTTGTTAAACAGATGCTTGAAGGCAGCATGCTCCTTAAGAGTCATCACCACTCCCTAATCTCAAGTACCCAGGGACACAAACACTGCAGAAGGCCGCAGGGTCCTCTGCCTAGGAAAACCAGAGACCTTTGTTCACTTGTTTATCTGCTGACCTTCCCTCCACTATTGTCCTATGACCCTGCCAAATCCCCCTCTGCGAGAAACACCCAAGAATGATCAATAAAATAAATAAATAAATAAATAAAGTTACAAAAAAAAAATTCTTAGAGACCTATGAAGAGATTTAGATAACTATACAATAATAGGGGGGGCATCAACACCCCACTGACTGCAATAGATCATCAAGGCACTAAACTAACAAAGATATCAGGAACTTGAGGATGGCATTTGACCAAATGGGCTAAGAAACATCTACAGAACTCTTACCCCCAAACAATGGGATGTACATTTATCTCATCAGCACATGGCACATACTGTAAAATTGACCACACAATCAGCTATAAAACAATCTTCAGCAAATTTGAAAGAAACAGAAATTATGCCAAACACAATCTTGGACTACAGTTTAATAAAAATAAAAATCAATACTAAGGAAATTGCTCAAAATCTTACAATGACATAAAAATTAAACAACCTACTCCTGAACGATTTTGGGGTAAAACAAAATTAAAGCAGAAATCAATAAATTCATTGAAACTAATGAGAAAAAAAGATACAACATACCAGAATCTTTGGGACACAGCTAAAGCAGTGCAAAGAGGATTGTTTACAGCACTAAACACCCACATCAAAAAGTGAGAAAGATCTCAAATTTACAACCTAACATCACACCTAGAAGAACAAGAAACAAGAGCAAACCAATCCCAGAGGTAGCAGAATGAGAATTAACCAAAATCAGAGCTGAACTGAATAAATTTGAAATGTAAAACAACATAGGAAATATCAATAAATCCTTGAATTGGATATTTGAAAGAATAAATAAGGTTGATAGAACTCTAGTGGGCCCGCAGGTGCACAGAAGTCAACAACTGAGGTTTGGTAACTTCTGTTTAGATTTCAGAGAATGTATGAAAAGCCTGGATGTCCAGGCAGAAGTCTGCTGTAGTGGCAGAGCCCTCATGGAGAACCTCTGCTAGGTCAGTGCAAAAGGAAAATGTGAGGTTGAAGCCCCCACACAGTCTACACTGGGGTACTGCCTAGTGGAGCGCTGAGAAAAGGGCTACCGTTCTCCAGACCCCAGAATGGTAGATCCATCAATAACTTTCACCATGCACCTGGAAAAGCTGCAGGCACTCACCAGACCATTAGAGCAGCCACAGGGGCTGAACCCTGCAAAGCCACAGAGTTGTCCAAAGTCTTGGGAGCCCACCATTTGCATCAGCATGCACTGGATGTGAGATATGAAGTCAAAGGAGTTTTTTTGGAGCTTTAAGGTTGATTGACTCCCCTGCTGGATTTCAGATTGCATGGGGCCTGTGGCACCTTTGCTTTGGCCAATTTATTCCATTTGAAATGGAAAAATTTACCCAATGTCTGTACCTGTATTGTATTTTGGAAGTAACTAACTCATTTTTGACTTTATAGACTCCTAGGCAAAAGATACTTGCATTGTCTCAGATAGGACTTTGAATTTAAACTTTTGGGTTAATGCTGGAATGAGCTAAAACTTTGGGGGACTGTTGAGAAGAAGACATGATTGTGTTTTGAAATGTGAGAAAGACATGAGATTTGGGAGTGGCCAGGGGCAGAATAATATGGCTTGGTTTTGTCCCCACCCAAATTTCATCTCTAATTGTAATCTGAATTATACTCCACCACATGTTGGAAGAGAGACCTGGTGGGAGTTGATCGGATCATGGGGGTGGTTCCCCCCATGTTGTTCTCATGACAGTGAGTGAGTTATCACAAGATCTGGTTTTACAAGTGGTGGATTCCCCTGTGTGCTCTCTCTCTCTCTCACCTGCCACCATGTAAGACATGCCTGCTTCATCTTTTGTCATGATTGTAAGTTTCCTGAGGCCTCTCCAGCCCTTTAGAACTGTGAGTCAATTAAACCTCTTTTCTTTACAAATTACCCAGTCTTGGGCAATTCTTTATAGCAATGTGAAAATAGACTAATACACTTCCCAAAGAAATCTACAGATTCAATGCCATTCCTATCAAATTAGCAATGACATTATTCCCAGAATTAGAAAGAAACTATAATTTATATAAAACCAAAAAATAAAAGGAATATCACCACTCACTTCACAGAAATACAACCTACCATGCAGCAAATACTGCAAACACCTCTGTGCAGATAAACTAGAAAATCTAGAAGAAATGGAGAAATTCCTGGTTGGGTACACCCTACCAAGGCTAAACCAGGAAAAAGTCAAATCCCTGAATAGACCAATAAAAAGGTCTAAAACTGAAGCAGTAATTAATAGCCTACCAGACCAAAAAAGTCCAGGAACAAAGATGGCCAAAAAGGAACAGCTCCAGTCGACAGCTCCCAGCAAGATCAATGCAGAAGGTGAGTGATTTCTGCATTTCCAAAGGAAGTACACAGCTCATCTCATTGGGACTGATTGGACAGTGGGTGCAGCCCATGGAGGGTGAGCCAAAGCAGGGTGGAACATCACCTCACCCAGCAAGCACAAGAGGTAGGGGAATTCCCTCCACTACCCAAGGGAAGCCATGAGGTACTGTGCAGTGAGGAATGGTGCACTCCAGCCCAGACACTGTGCTTTTCCCAGAGTCTTTGCAACCTGCACACCAGGAGATTCCCTAAGGTGCCTACATCACCAGGGCCCTGGGTTTCAAGCAAAAAACTGGGTGGCCGTTTGGTCAGACACTGAGCTAGCTCCATGAGTCTTTTTTCCATACCCCAGTGGCACAAGAAACTCCAGCGAGATAGAACCATTCACGCCTCTGGAAAAAGGGCTGAAGCCAGGGATCCAAGTGGTCTGCCTCAGCAAGACCCACCCACACAGGGCACAGCAATCTAAGATACACTGGCTTGAAATTCTCACTGCCAGCACAGCAGACTGAGGTGAACCTGGGACACTTGAGCTTGGTGGGAAGAGAGGCATCTGCCATTGCTGAGGCTAGAGTGGGTGGTTTTCCCCTTACGGTGTAAAGAAAGCTGCTGGGAAGTTCAAACTGGTTGAAGCACACCACAGCTTAGCAAAGCCACTGTGGCCAGATTGCCTTTCTAGATTCCTCCTCTCTGGACAGGGCATCTCTGAAAGAAAGGCAGGAGCCCCAGTCAGGGGCTTACAGATAAAACCCTATCTCTCTGGGACAGAGCACCTGGGGGAAGGGGCAGCTGTGGGCGCAGTTTCAACAGACATAAATGTCCCTGCCTGACAGCTCTGAAGAGAGGAGCAGATGTCCCAGCACAGCTTTCAAACTCTGCTAAGGGTCAGACTGCCTGCTCAAGTGGGTCCCTGACTCCCGTGTATCCTGAATGGGAGAGAACTACCAGTAGGGCCTGAAAGACACCTCATTCAGGGGAGCTCTGGCTGGCATCTGGTGGGTGCCCCTCTGGGATGAAGCATCCAAGGGAAAAAACAGGCAGCAATCTTTGCTGCTCTGCAGCCTCCGCTTCTGATACTCAGGGAAACTGTCTAAAGTAAATCTCCAGCAAATTCCAACAGACCTGAAGGAGAGGGGCCTGACTATTGGAAGGAAAACTAAGAAACAGAAAGGGATGGCAACAACATCAATAAAAAGGACAGCCACTCAGAGGCCCCATCCAAAGGTCAGCAACATCAAACACCAAAGGCAGATAAATCCAGGAAGACGGGGAGAAACCAGTGCAAAAAGTTGAAAATTCCAAAAATCAGAACGCATCTTCTCCTTCAAAGGATCCCAACTCCTCGCCAGCAAGGGAACAAAACTGGATGGAGAATGAGTTTGACGAATTGACAGAAGTAGGCTTCAGAAGGTGGGTAGTAACAAACTCCTCCAAGCTCAAGGAGCATGAGAGCATGATCTAACTCAGTGCAAAGAAGCTAAGAACCTTGAGAAAAGGTTAGACGAATTGCTAACTAGAGTAACCAGTTTAGAGAAGAAGATAAATGACCTGATGGAGCTGAAAACCACAGCACAAGAACTTTGTGAAGAATATACAACTATCAATAACCAAATCAATCAAGCAGAAGAAAAGATATCAGAGATTGAAGATCAACTTAATGAAATAAAGTGAGAAAACAAGATTAGAGAAAAAGGAATGAAAAGAAATGAAGAAAGCCTCCAAAAAATATGGGATTCTGTGAAAAGACCAAATCCACGTTTCATTGGTGTACCTGAAAGTGATGGGGAGAATGGAACCAAGTTTGAAAACACTCTTCAGGATATTATCCAGGGGAACTTCCTCAACCTAGTAAGACCAACCAACATTCAAATTCAGGAAATATGGAGAACACCACAAAGATAATCCTAGAGAAGGGCATCCCCAAGACACATAATCATCAGATTAACCAAGGTTAAACTGAAAAAAAAAATGTTAAGGGCAGCCAAAGAGAAAGATCAGGTTACCCACAAAGAGAAGCCCATCAGACTAACAGTGGATCTCTCTGCAGAAACCTGACAAGCCAGAAGAGAGTGAGGGACAATATTCAACATTCTTAAAGAAAAAATTTTCAACACAGAATTTTATATCCACTGAAACTAAGTTTCACAAGCGAAGGAGAAATAAAATCCTTTACAGACAAGCAACTGATGAAACATTTTGTCGTCTACCAGACCAGCCTTACAAGAGCCCCTGAAGGAAGCACTAAACATGGAAGAAAAACACCAGTACTGGCCACTGCAAAAACATAACAAATTGTGAAGACCATCAATACTATCAAGAAACTGCATCAACTAATGAGCAAAATAACCAGCTAGCATCATAATGACAGGATCAAATTCACACATAACAATATTAACCTTCAAGGTAAACAGGGTAAATGCCCCAGTTGAAAGACGCAGACTGGCAAATTGGATAAAGAGTCAAGACCCATTGGTGTGCTATATTCAGGAGAACCATCTCACGTGCAAAGGCACACATATGCTCAAAACAAAGGGATGGAGGAATATTTACCAAGCAAATGGAAAGCCAAAAACAGCAGGGGTTGCAATTTTAGTCTCTGCTAAAAAAGACTTTAAAACAACAAAGATCAAAAGACACAAAGAAGGGCATTATATAATGGTAAAGGGATAAATGCAACAGAAAGAGCTAAATATATGAGAGCTATCCTATATATACATATATATGCACCCAAGACAGGAGCACCCAGATTCATAAAACAAGTTCTTAGAGACCTAAAAAGAGATGTAGACTCCTGCATAATAATAATGGGAGACTTTAACATGTCACAGTCAATATTAGACAGATAGCAAGACAGAAAATTAACAAAGATACTTAGGACTTGAACTCAGCTCTGGACCAAGTCGACTTAATAGACATCTACAAAACTCTCCACCTCCAAATTAAAAAAATATATATTCGTCTCAGCACCTCATCACACTTATTCTAAAATTGACCACATAGTTGAAAGTAAAACACTCCTCAGCAAATGTAAAAGAATGGAAATCATAACAGTCTCTCAGACCACAGTGCCATCAAATTAGAACACAAAATTAAGAAACTCACTGAAAACCGAACAACTACATGAAAACTGAACACCCTGCTCCTGAATTACCACTGGGTAAGTTCCTAAATTAAGGCATAAATAAAGATGTTCTTTGAAACCAATGAGAACAAAGACAAAACGTACCAAAATCTCTGGGACACATTTAAAGCAGTGTTTAGATGGAAACTTATTGCACTAAATGTGCACATCAGAAAGCAGGAAAGATCTAAAATCGACACCCTAACATCAAAATTAAAAGAACTAGAGAAGCAGTAGAAAACAAATTCAAAAGTTACCAGAAGACAGGAAATAACTAAGATCAGAGAAGAACACAAGGAGATAGAGACATGAAAAACTCTTCAAAAAATTAATGAATTAAGGAGCTGTTTTTTTAATGATCAACAAAATAGACCACTAGCCAGAATAATGAAGAAGAGAGAAGAATCAAATAGACATAATAAAAAATGATAAAGGGGATATCGTCACTGATCACATAGAAATACAAACTACCATCAGAGAATACTATAAACACCTCTATGCAAATAAACTAGAAAACCTAGAATAAATGGATAAATTCCTGGACACATATATCCCCCCAAGACAAAACCAGGAAGAAGTCAAATCCCTGAATAGACTAATAACAAGTTCTGAAAGTGAGGCAGTAATTAATAGCCTACCAACCAAAAGAAGTCCAGGACAAGAAGGATTCACAGCTACATTATACCAGAGGTGCAGAGAGGAGCTGGCACCATTTCTTTTGAAACTATTCCAAACCATAGAAAAAGAGGTACTCCTCCCTAACTCATTCTATGAGGCCAGCATTACCCTGATACCAAAACCTGACAGACACAACAAAAAAATTTCAGGCCAATATCCCAGATGAACATCGATTCAAAAATTCTCAATAAAATACTAGCAAACTGAATCCAGCAGCACATCAAAAGCTTATCCACCACGATCAAGTCATCTTCATCCCTATGATGCAAGACTGGTTCAACATATGCAAATCAACAAACATAATCCATCACGTAAACAGAACCAAAGACAAAAACCACATGATTATCTCAATAGATGCAGAAAAAACCTTTGATAAAATTCAACATCCCTTTATTAAAAACTCTCAATAAACTAGCTATTCTTGGAACATACCTCAAAATAATAAGAGCTATTTATGACAAACCCACAGCCAATATCATATTGAATGAACAAAAGCTGGAAGCATTCCCTATGGGAACCGGCACATGACAAGGATACCCTCCTTCACCACTCCTATTCAACACAGTATTGGAAGTTCTGGCCTGGGCAGTCAGGCAAGAGAAAGAAATAAAGGGTATTCACATAGAAAAAAGGAAGTCAAATTGTCTCTGTTTGCAGATGACATGATTGTATATTTAGAAAACACCATCATCTCAGCCCAAAAACTTCTTAAGCTAATAAGAAACTTCAGCAAAATCTCAGCATACAAAATTAATGTGCAAAAATCACAAGCATACTTTTACAACAACAATAGGCAAGCAGAGAACCAAATCATGAATGAACTCCCATTCACAATTACTATAAAAAGAATAAAATGCCTAGGAATACAGCTAACAAATGATGTGAAGGACTTCTTCAAGAACAACAAACTACTGCTCAAGGAAATAGGAGACAAACAAATGGAAAAACATTCCATCCTCATCGACAGGAAAAATCAATGTCATGAAAATAGCCATACTGCCCAAAGTAATTCATAGATTCAATGCTATTCCCATCAAACTACCATTGACATTCTTCACAGAATTAGAAAAAATTTAAATTTCATATGGATCAAAGAAAAATTTAAATTTCATATGGATCAAAGAAAATCTCGTATAGCCAAGACAATCCTCACCAAAAGAACAAAGCTGGAGGCATCACGCTACATGACTTCAAACTATATTACAAGGCTACACATAGATCAATGGAATAAAATAGAGACCTCAGAAATAACACCACACATCTACACCGTCTGATCTTTGACAAACATGACAAAAACAAGCAATGGGGAAGGATCTCCTGTTCAACAAATGGTGCTGGTAAAACTGGCTAGCCATATGCAGAAAACTGAAACTGGACCCCTTCCTTACATCTTATACAAAAATTAACTCAAGATGGACTGAAGACTTAAATATACACCCCAAAACCATAAAACCCTAAAAGAAAACCTAGGCAATACCATTCAGGACATAGGCATGAGAAAAGACTTCATGACTAAAACACCAAAAGCGATGGCAACAAAAGCCAAAGTTGACAAATGGGATCTAACTAAACTAAAGAGCTTCTGGACAGTAAAAGAAACTATCATCAGAGTGAACATGCAACCTACAGAATGGGAGAAAATTTTTGCAAGCTACCCATCTAACAAAGGTCTAATATCCAGAATTTACAAGGAACATAAACATATTTACAAGGAAAAAACAAACAACCCCATCAAAAAGTGGGCAAAGGATATGAACAGACACTTATCAAAAGAAGACATTTAGATGGTCAACAAATATATGAAAAAAGCTCAACATCACTGATCATCAGAGAAATGCAAATAAAAACCACAATGAGCTACCATCTCACACCAGTCAAAATGGTGATTATTAAAAAGTCAGGAAACAATAGATGCTGGTGACACTGTGGAGAAATAGGAATATTTTTACACTGTTGGTGGGAATGTAAATTAGTTCAACCATTGTGGAAGACTGTGTGGCAATTCCTCAAGGATCTAGAACCAGAAATAACATTCGACCCAGCAAATCCATTAACGTATGTTTATTCCAATAAACTTGTTTATTGCAGCACTATTTACAATAGCAAAGACATGGAACCAACCCAAATGCCCACCAATAATAGACTGGATTTTCAAAAAATGCGGTACATATACACCATGGAATACTATGCAGTGATAGTATGAGAAAGAAAAAGAATGAGATTATGTCCTTTGCAGGGACATAGATTAAGCTGGAAATCATCATCCTCAGGAAGCTAACACAGGAACAGGAAACTAAACAGCGCATGGTCTCACTCATAACTGGGAGTTGAACATTGAGAACTCATGAACAGAGAAACGGGAACAACACACACCACGGTCTGTTGGGAGGTGGAGGGTGAGGGGACAGAACTTAGAGGACGGGTCAATAGGTGTAGCAAACCACCATGGCATATGTATACCTATGTAACAAACCTGCACGTTTTGCATGTGTGTCCAGTTTTTTCTTTAGAAGAAATTAAGAAAAAAAAAAGAAAAATATATATATATGGCCAGAATAAACATCTCATCTAAATTTTGCTCCTAAAAAAACATTAAGCAAAGGACATGAGCAGGCACTTTTATTATTATTATTATTATTATTATTATTATTACTGTTATACTTTAAGTCTTAGGGTACATGTGCAAAACGTGCAGGTTTGTGACATATGTATACACATGCCATGCTGGTGTGCTGCACCCATTAACTCGTCATTTAGCATTAGTTATATCACCTAATTCTATCCCTCCCCCCTCCCGCCACCCCATAACAGTCCCCAGTGTGTGATGTTCCCCTTCCTGTGTCCATGAGTTCTCACTGTTCAATTCCCACCTATGACTGAGAACATGCAGTGTTTGGCTTTTTGTCCTTGCAATAGTTTGCTGAGAATGATGGTTTCCAGCTTCATCCATGTCCCTATAAAAGACATGAACTCATCCTTTTTTATGGCTCCATAGTATTCCATGGTGTATATGTGCCACATTTTCTTAATCCAGTCTATCATTGTTGGACATTTGGGTTGGTTCCAAGTCTTTGCTATTGTGAATAGTGCCACAATAAACATACGTGTGCATGTGTCTTTATAGCAGCATGATTTATAATCCTTTGGGTATATACCCAGTAATGGGATGGCTGGGTCAAATGATATTTCTAGTTCTAGATCCCTGAGGAATCGCCACACTGACTTCCACAATGGTTGAACTAGTTTACAGTCGCACCAACAGTGTAAAAGTGTTCCTATTTCTCCACATCCTCTCCAGCACCTGTTGTTTCCTGACTTTTTAATGATCACCATTCTAACTGGTGTGAGATGGTATCTAATTGTGGTTTTCATTTGCATTTCTCTGATGGCCAGTGATGATGAGCATTTTTTCATGTGTTTTTTGGCTGCATAAATGGCTTCTTTTGAGAAGCGTCTGTTCATATTCTTCACCTACTTTTTGATGGGGTTGTTTGTTTTTTTCTTGTAAATTTGTTTGAGTTCACTGTAGATTCTGGATATTAGCCCTTTGTCAGATGAGTAGGCAGCAAAAATTTTCTCCCATTCTGTAGGTTGCCTCTTCACTCTGATGGTAGTTTCTTTTGCTGTGCAGAAGCTCTTTAGTTTAACTAGATCCCATTTGTCAATTTTGGCTTTTGTTGCCATTGCTTTTGGTGTTTTAGACATGAAGTCCTTGCACATGCCTATGTGTTGAATGGTATTGCCTAGGTTTTCTTCTAGAAATTTTATGGTTTTAGGTCTAACATGTAAGTCCTTAATCCATCTTGAATTAATTTTTGTATAAGGTGTAAGGAAGGGATCCAGTTTCAGCTTTCTCCATATGGCTAGCCAGTTTTCCCAGCACCATTTATTAAATAGGGAATCCTTTCCCCACTGCTTGTTTTTGTCAGATTTGTTAAAGATCAGATAGTTGTAGATATGTGGCATTATTTCTGAGGGCTCTGTTCTGTTCCATTGGTCTATATCTCTGTTTTGGTACCAGTACCATGCTGTTTTGCTTACTGTAGGTTTGTAGTATAGTTTGAAGTCAGGTAGCGTGATGCCTCCAGCTTTGTTCTTTCGGCTTAGGATTGACTTGGCAATGTGGGCTCTTTTTTGGTTCCATAAGAACTTTAAAGTAGTTTTTTCCAATTCTGTGAAGAAAGTCATTGGTAGCTTGATGGGGATGGCATTAAATCTATAAATTACCTTGGGCAGTATGGCCATTTTCATGATATTGATTCTTCCTACCCATGAGCATGGAATGTTCTTCCATTTGTTTGTATCCTCTTTGATTTCATTGAGCAGTGGTTTGTAGTTCTCCTTGAAGAGGTCCTTCACATCCCTGTAAGTTGGATTCCTAGGTATTTTATCCTCTTTGAAGCAATTGTAAATGCGAGTGCACTCATGATTTGGCTCTCTGTTTGTCTGTTATTGGTGTATAACAATGCTTGTGATTTTTGCACATTGATTTTGTATCCTGAGACTTTGCTGAAGTTGCTTATCAGTTTAAGGAGATTTTGGGCTGAGACGATGGGGTTTTCTAGATACACAATCATGTCATCTGCACACAGGCACAACTTGACTTCCTCTTTTCCTAATTGAATGCCCTTTATTTCCTTCTCCTGCCTGATTGCCCTGGCCAGAACTTCCAACACTACGTTGAATAGGAGTGGTGAGAGAGGGCATCCCTGTCTTGTGCCAGTTTTCAAAGGGAATGCTTCCCGTTTTTGTCCATTCAGTATGATATTGGCTGTGGGTTTGTCATAAATAGCTCTTATTATTTTGAGATACTTCCCATCAATACCTAATTTATTGAGAGTTTTTAGCATGAAGGGTTGTTGAATTTTGTCAAAGGCCTTTTCTGCATCTATGGAAATAATCATGTGGTTTTGGTTCTTGGTTCTGTTTATATGCTGGATTACGTTTATTGATTTGTGTATGTTGAACCAGCCTTGCATACCAGGGATGAAGCTCACTTGATCATGGTGGATAAGCTTTTTGATGTGCTGCTGGATTCGGTTTGCCAGTATTTTATTGAGGATTTTTGCATCAATGTTCATCAAGGATATTGGTCTAAAATTCTCTTTTTTTGTTGTATCTCTGTCAGGCTTTGGTATCAGGATAATGCTGGCCTCATAAAATGAGTTAGGGAGGACTGCCTGTTTTTCTATCAATTGGAATAGTTTCAGAAGGAATGGTAGCAGCTCCTCCTTGTACCTCTGGTAGAATTCGGCTGTGAATCCATCTGGTCCTGGACTCTTTTTGGTTGGTAAGCTATTAATTATTGCCTCAACTTCAGAGCCTGTTATTGGTCTATTCAGAGATTCAGCTTCTTCCTGGTTTAGTCTTGGGAGGGTGTATGTGTCGAGGAATTTATCCATTTCTTCTAGATTTTCTAGTTTATTTGCATAGAGGTGTTTATAGTATTCTCTGATGGTAGTTTGTATTTCTGTGGGATCAGTGGTGATATCCCCTTTGTCATTTTTTATCATGTCTATTTGATTCTTCTTTCTTTTCTTCTTTATTAGTCTTGGTAGCCGTCTATCAATTTTGTTGATCTTTTCAAAAAACCAGCTCCTGGATTCATTGATTTTTTGAAGGATTTTTTGTGTCTCTATCTCCTCCACTTCTGCTCTGATCTTAGTTATTTCTTGCTTTCTGCCAGCTTTTGAATGTGTTTGTTCTTGCTTCTCTAGTTCTTTTAATTGTGATGTTATGGTGTCAATTTTCAATCTTTCCTGCTTTCTCTTGTGGGCATTTAGTGCTATAAATTTCCCTCTACACACTGCTTTAAATGTTTCCCAGAGATTGTGGTATGTTGTGTCTTTGTTCTCATTGGGTTCAAAGAACATCTTTATTTCTGCCTTCATTTTATTATGTACCCAGTAGTAATTCCAGAGCAGGTTGTTCAGTTTCCATGTAGTTGTGCAGTTTTGAGTAAGTTTCTTAATCCTGAGTTTTAGTTTGATTGCACTGTGGTCTGCGAGACAGTTTGTTATAATTTCTGTTCTTTTACATTTGCTGAGGAATGCTTTACTTCCAACTATGTGGTCAGTTTTGGAATAGGAGTGGTGTGGTGCTGAAACGAATGTATATTCTGTTGATTTGGGGTGGAGAGTTCTGTAGATGTCTATTAGGTCTGCTTGGTGCACAGCTGGGTTCAATTCCTGGATATCCTTGTCAACTTTCCAACAGACACTTTTTAAAAGAAGGCATACATGTGGCCAAAAAGCCTATGAAAATAATGCTGAATATCATTAATCTTTAAGGAAATGCAAATCAAAATGACAATGACATACCGTCTCAAACTAGTCAAGATAGATATTATTAAAAATTCAAAAAATAACAGATGCCAGCAAGGTTGCTGAGAAAAGAGAGTGCTTATACACTGCTGGTGGTAATGTAAATTTGTTCAGCCATTGTGAAAAGAGTGTGGTGATTTCTCAGAAAACTTAAAACACAATTCCCATTTGACCCAGCAATCCTCTTATTGGGTTTATACCCAAAGGAATACAAACCATTCTACCATAAGGACACATATATGCATATGTTCATTGCAGCACTATTCACAATAACAAACACATGGAATCAACCTAACAGTCCATCAGTGGTAGACTGGATTTAAAAAATACTTATGGTACACATACACCACGGAATACTACACAGCAATAAAAATAAATGAAATCATGTCATTTGCAGTAACATAGATAGAGCTGGAGGCCATTATCCTAAGCAAACTAATGCACGAACAGAGTACCAAATACCACATGTTCTCACCTGCAAGAGGGAGCTAAGCATTGGGCACACATGATCAACAAAGTAAACATACAACCTATAGGATGGGAGAAAATATTCACACACTATGCATCTGACAAATGTGTAACATCCAGAATCTATGAGCAACTTAACCAATTCAACAAGCAAAAACCAAACACCACATTAGAAAATTGGCAGGTAATATGAACAGACACTTTTCAAAAGAAGACATACATGTGAACAACAAATATATGGAAAAATGTTCAACATTACTAATCACTAGAGAAATGCAAATCAAAACAACAATGAGATACTGTCTCATACCAGTCAGGGGGGCTATTGTTAAAAAGTCAAAAAATAACAGGTGTTGGTGAGGTTACAGGGAAAAGGAAATGCTTATATTGAGAGAGGAGATCACTCCTCATATTGTCTTATACTTAATTTTTTGTTTACTGAAAAAGTAAAAGTTTAAAAAATAGGCAGAAGTGAAAATCATAGTCAGACAACCAAGTGCCACATTTTGGGCCTGGTAGTTAAAATTCAACCCCTGACCTCACCACTTGTGGTATCTATAGATTCGAGACATTGTATGAAAAAGCATTATGAAACTCCCTGTTCTGTTCTGTTTCATTCTGATTACTGGTGCATGCAGCCCCCAGTCACATACCCCTCGCTTGCTCATTCAATCACGACCTCCCCCTCACACAGCCCCTTTAGAGTTGTGAGCCCTTAAAAGGGACAAGAATTACTTATTTGGGGAGCTCGGTTTATATGATGTGAGTCTGCCAATGCTCCCAGCTGAATAAAGCTGTTTATTTCCACAATCTGGTGTCTGAGGGATTTTGTCTATGACTCTTGCTGCTACGTTTCTTGGTTCCCTGACTGGGAAGTGAGGTAATTGGCAGAGGGTTGAGGCAGCCCCTTAGTTGGCTTTGGCCTGTCCTGTGGAAAATTCCTGTGGGGGACACTGACCAGCCTGAGCGATGCAGACCCAGAGTGCTCCTGGGTAGGCAATTACCCCAGTGGAATGCCTCACCAGAGCAGCATGTGGCAGGCCCCCACAGAGGAAACATGCAGTGACTGAACACCAGGAAGGAACTGGCACGTGGGGTCCAGACGTCTGAAACTTGGTAAGACTAGTCTCTGGAATTTGCCCACTCCATTTGAGTGCAAGTGTGGCCTGATCACCCATGATGTGCCCATGTCAGTACTTTGGTTTTGGTTTTAACTTAAATTGCTTGGTATTTGGTTCTGGTTTTGGTTTTGACTTGGCTCAGATTTCTTGATACTCAGATTTTGGTTTTAATTATTAGTTGTGTGTGTGTACCCTCTTTCTTGTTCTTTTTGTGTGAGGTGTGTGTGTGTGGTGAGAGTGTGAGAAAAAAAACATGGGTCAGGCACAAAGTAAGCCCACTCCATTAGGAACTATGCTAAAGAATTTCAAAAAGGGATTTAAAGGAGATTGTAGAGTCACTATGACACTAGGGAAATTTAAAAGTTTGTGTGAGATAGACTGGCCAGCCTTAGAGGTGAATTGGCCATCAGAAGGAAGCCTGGACAGGTCCCTTAACTCGAAGGTATGGCACAAGGTAACCTGTAAGCCAGGTCACCCAGACCAGTTCCCCTATATAGATTCCTAGTTACAGCTAGTTTTGGACCCCCCTCAGTGGTTAAGAGGGCAGGTGGCAGCAGTACTAGTAGCAAAGGGATGGTCAGTTAAGGAAGGTTCTCACTCCACCTGCAAAGGGAAGTCGGTACATAAAGTCCTATCTGATCCAATGCCTGATGACTCCTGGCAGGACATGGCACTGACAGTCCCCCCTTACCAAGGAGAAAGACTCCCCACTCTTGAGCCCACAGCACCTACACCCTCGCAAGACATCCACACCCCTAGACCACCCAGAGTAGACAAAAAGGAAAGAGAAGCTACAGGAGAAACTCCTCCCTTGGCAGCCCGCTTATGACCTAAGACTGGAATCCAAATACCCCTGAGGGAGCAGCAATATACTGGGGTAGATGAGGACAGGCACAAGGTGGAAAGACGTGCCTTTGTGTATCAGCCTTTCACTTCTGCCAATCTCCCAACTTGGAAAAACAATACACCCTCTTATACTGAGAAACCCCAGGCCTTAATTGATCTGCTCCAAATCATTATACAGACTCACAATCCCACTTGGGCTGATTGTCACCAGCTGCTCCTGTACCTCTTTAATACTGATGAGAGGTGAAGGGTACTCCAGGCAGCAACCAAGTGGCTGGAAAAACATGTACCAGCCGATTTCCAAAACCCTCAAAAATATGTAAAAATTCAGCTTCCAGGAACAGACCCCCAGTGGGACATGAATGATGGGCCAGATATGGAAAGGTTAAAGTGGTACAGAGTGGCATTATTAGAAGGCCTAAAGAAAGGGGCTCAAAAGGCTATAAACGTGAATAAAGTTTCTAAAGGTATCCAAGGAAAAGAGAAAAGTCTGGGACAATTCTATGAGAGACTGTGTGAGACTTACCGTATGTACACCCCCTTTGACCCAGCCAGCCCTGAAAATCAGCGCATGATTAACAAAGCCCTAGTTACCCAAAGTGCAGAAGATATTAGGAGAAAATTACAGAAACAAGCTGGATTTGTGGATATGAATACATCACAGTTACTGGAAATAGCTAATCAAGTGTTTGTGAACAGAGATGCAACCAGCTGCAGGAGAAGCCGTAAAGAAGGCAATTGCCAGTCCCGGTGAAACACCAACTTGCTATTAGAGGAATCCCGCCAAAAAGGCAGGAAAAGGGGGATTCTGGGAAAAACACCCAGCCCAACCGCCCACAGTTAAAACGTAACCAGTGTGCCTATTGAAACCAAACACCGCATATTCTCACTCATAGGTGGGAATTGAACAATGAGATCACATGGACACAGGAAGGGGAATATCACACTCTGGGGACTGTGGTGGGGTGGGGGGAGGGGGGAGGGATAGCACTGGGAGATATACCTAATGCTAGATGACGAGTTAGTGGGTGCAGCGCACCAGCATGGCACATGTATACATATGTAACTAACCTGCACAATGTGCACATGTACCCTAAAACTTAAAGTATAATAAAAAAAAAAAAAGAAAAAAAAAGATACCAATAAATGTAAAAAAAAAGAAAAGAAAATAGGGCATTGGAAAGATAAGTGCCCCCAGTTAAAAAAACAAAAAAGCAAGGAGGTTTGGAGCAAAAAGCCTCAGATAAGGATGAAGGAGCCTTGTTCAATTTAGCTGAAGGGTTGCTGGACTTAAGGGGACCGGGCTCAAATGCCCCCAAGGAGTCCATGGTCAGAATGACAGTGGGGGGCAAGGATATTAAGTTTCTGGTCGATACTGAGCACTCAGTGGTAACCATCCTGGTCGCCCCTTTATCCAAGAAAACTATTGATATCTTTGGAGCAACAGGAGTCTCCACCAAGCAGGCTTTCTGTCTGCTGCGAACCTGCTCAGTGGGAGGACATAAAATAATTAACCAGTTTCTGTATATGCCTGATTGCCCCTTGCCTTTGCTGAGAAGAGACTTGTTTAGTAAGCTAACAACCACTATTTCCTTTACAAAGAGGAGTTCTTTACAGCTAGAGTTGCCGGAAACAGGAGTTGACATCCCCTTTACTGTCCCCCAAGAAGAAAAATGGAGGCTTTTTCTAACTGAACCAGGCAAGGAAATAGGGCTGGCTTTAGCTCAACGGTGGCCAAAAGTCTGGGCAGAAAACAATACTCCCGGACTGGCAATCAATCAAGCCCCAGTATTCATAGAAGTTAAGCCAGGGGCCCATCCAGTCAGACAGAAGCAGTATCCAGTCCCTAGAAAAGCTCTGGAAGGTATCCAGGTCCATCTCAAGTGCCTAAAGACTTTTAAAATTATAGTGCCTTGTCAGTCTCCATGGAACACCCTCCTCCTGCCTGTCCTAAGCCAGGGATTAAGAATTACCGGCCAGTACAGAACATGTGCTTGGTCAAACAAGCCACAGTGACTCTGCATCCAGCAGTTCCTAACCTTTACACATTGGTAGGGTTGCTGCCAGCTGAGGACAGCTGGTTTACCTGCCTGGACTTAAAAGATGCCTTTTTGGCATCTGACTAGCTCCTGAGAGCCAGAAGTTGTTTGCCTTTCAATGGGAAGATCTGGGGTCAGGTGTCATTACTCAGTACACTTGGACTGGCTTCCCCAGGGATTCAAGAACTCCCCCACAATCTTCAGGAAAGCATTGGCTCGAGACCATCAAAAGCTTCCTGCTAAAGACCTAGGCTACGTCTAGCTCCAGTATGTTGGGGACCTTCTGCTGGGACACCCCATGGCAGCCAGGTGCACAAAATAAATGGATGCCCTGCTTCAGCACCTGGAGGACTGTGGGTATAAGGTGTCCAAGAAGAAGGCCCAGATCTGCAGACAGCAGGTATGCTACCTGGGTTTCACTATTTGACAGGGGGAGCACAGCCTAGGGCCAGAAAGAAAGCAGGTTATCTGCAGCCTACCAGAGCCCCAAACTAGAAGACAGGTAAGGGAATTCTTGGGGGCTATAGGGTTCTGCACACTATGGATCTCCAACTTTGCAGTACTGGCCAAACCTCTATACCAAGTTACAAAGCGGGGGGACACAGAGACTTTTGAATGGGGGACACAGCAGCAGCAAGCCTTCCATAAGTTAAATAAAAAGTTTTTGTCGGCCCCAGCATTAGGGCTACCTGATCTAACAAAACCTTTCACACTGTATGTATCGAAAAAAAGAAAATGGCAGAAAATTAGCTCAGACTGTAGGGCCCTGGCCAAGGCCAGTGGCCTATCCCTTAAAACAACTAGGTGGGGTTTCCAAAGGCTGGCCGCCATGTCTATGGGCCTTGGCAGCAACTGCTGTGTTAGCACGAGAGGCAGATAAACTAACACTAGGACAAAACCTGAACATAAAGGCCCCTCATACTGTAGTAACCTTAATAAACACCAAGGGACATCACTGGCTAACAAATGCAAGATTGACTAAGTACCGAAGCTTGCTCTGTGAAAATCCCCACATAACCATTAAAGTTTGTAACACCCTGAATCCAGCCACCTTGATCCCAGCACCAGAAAGCTCTGTTGAGCATAACTGTATAAAAGTGTTAGACTCGGTTTATTCTAGCAGACCTGATCTCCAGGACCAGCCGTGGACATTGGCAGACTGGGAGTTATATGTGAACAGGAACAGCTACATAAACCCACAAGAAAAAAGGCAAGCAGCGTATGCACTGGTAACCCTGGACACGGTCATTGAAGCCAGGCCTCTGCCTCAAGGCACCTCAGCCCAAAAAGCTGAGCTCATTGCTCTAATCTGAGCTTTAGAGCTCAGTAAAGATAACACTGTGAACATTTACACTGACTCACGATACACCTTCCTAACCCTCCAAGTGCATGGAGCACTCTACAAAGAAAATGGTTTATTAAACTCTGAGGAAAAGGGCATAGAGTATCAACAAGAAATTTTACAACTATTAGAGACAGCATAAAAACCCCAGAGGGTGACAGTCATACACTGCAGAGGACACCAGCGATCCTCCAACACGGTCACTTTAGGAAATTCCCAAGCTGACTCAAAGACTAAGAAAGCAGCATCCACTCTTTACCGGGCATCAATTACAGCCCTCTTACTCCCTCAAGTACCTGACCTAGTTTCTACTTATTCCAGGGGAGAAAAAGCCTTTTTCCATGCAGAAGGGCGACTAAAAATAAAAGAGGGATGGATCAGGTTACCAGATGGGAAGGTGGCTGTGCCACAGATGCTGGGAGCTGCAGTTGTGCTGGCTGTTCATGACACCACTCATTTAGGTCAAGAGTCGCTTGAAAAGTTGTTAGGCTGGTACTTCTACATCTCACACTTGCCAGACCTTGCCAAAGTGGTAACGCAACTGTGTGTTTCCTGCTGACAACATAATGCGAGGCAAAGCCCCACTGTTCTGCCTGGCACACAAGCCTATGGAGATGCCCCCTTCGAAGATCTTCAGGTAGACTTCACAGAAATGCCCAAATGTGGAGGTAAAAAGTATTTGTTGGTCCTTGTGTGTACTTACTCTGGGTAGGTAAAAGCTTATCCAACACAAACTAAAAAGGCTCGTGAAGTAACCCATGTGCTCCTTCGAGATCTCATTCCTAGGTTTGGACTACCCTTATGGATCGGCTTGGACAATGGGCCGGCGTTTGTGGCTGACTTGGTGCAGAAAACAGCAAAGATATTGGGGATCACATGGAAACTGCATGCCACCTACTGACCACAGAGTTTCAGAAAGGTGAAGCAAATACGTCGGACTATCAAAAATAGTTCAGAAAAAATATGTCAGAAAACAGGATTAAAGTGGATACAGGCCCTCCCCTTGGTACTGTTCAAAATTAAATACACCCCTTCAAAGAAAACAGGATATTCTCCTTATAAAATATTATATCATAGGCCTCCTCCCATACCCCAGGGACTCCCAGGCACCCCCCTCCCCACTCCGAGAGTTAGGTGAAATTAAGTTACAGTGACAGCTATGGGCCTTAGAAAAAGTTACATAGACAATTTCAGCAGGGTAAATAAAAAGTGCCCCATCAGCTTATTCTCCCCAGTTCACCCTTTCTCTCCAGGTGATCGTGTGTGGATCAAGGACTGGAATATAGCCCCTTTACAGCCGTGGTGTAAGGGACCCCAGACCATCATCCTAACCACTCCTACTGCCGTAAAGGTAGAGGGAATCCCAGCTTAGATCCATCAGAGCCGTGTAAAACCTGTGGCCGCTGAGACCTGGGAGACAAAACCGAGCCTGAACAATCCCTGCAAAGTAACTCTGAGGAGGACGACAAGACCTGCTCCAGTCACACCCAGAAGCTGACTTGTCTACGTATGGCTGAAGCATGAGGAAACTCATCGTGGGACTCATTTTTCTAAAAATTTGGACTTGTATAATAAAATCCTCAATTGATTTTCCTCAAATGGAAAATTGCTCCCAGTGCCTCCATCAAGTTACAGAGGTAGGGCAAAAAACTAAAACTATCTTTCTGTTCTATAGTTATTATAAATGCTTGGGAACCTTAAAAGGAACATGTTTGCATAACAACACTGAGTACAAATTGTGTAGCCCAGGAAATGAACAGCCAGAAGTGTGCTATAACCCCTCTGAGCCTCCCAAGACCACAGTTTTTAAAATAAGGTTAAGAACTGGTCCCTTCCTAAGAGATACAAGTAAAGTACTAACTAAAGTGAAAAAAGAGAAGTTCCCAAAAAGATTATTTTAAAGTTTGATGCTTGTGCAGTCATTACTAACAATAGGCTAAGAATGTGGATGTGGATCCCTCAATTGGAAAAAAAAAAAAAGCTATACTTCAGAAAATAAGTATATATGTCATGAACTAAAAAATTGTGGATGTTGCTTCTACTGATCTTACGTCATTTGGGCTACTTGGAAAAAAAATGACAAAGACCCTGTCAGTCTCCAGAAAGGAAAAAGTAACTCTTCTTGCACTAGTCGAAATTACAACCCATTAGAACTGATAATTACTAACCCACCAGATCCCTGCTGAAAAACAGGAAAATATGTAACCCTAGGAATTGATGGGACCAGTCTTGATCCTGGAGTCCATATCTTAATACAAGGAGAAGTCCAAAAACGCTCTCCCCAACCAGTATTTCAAACTTTCTATGATGAACTAAATGTGCCGGTACCAGAAATTCCAGGAAAAACTAGGAATTTGTTTTTGCAATCAGCCAAGCATGTAGCTCAGTCTGTTAATGTCATTTCATGTAACGTTTGTAAAGGAACTGTGATGGGAGATCAGTGCCCATGGGAATCCTGAGAATTAATGCCTACAGACCCAGTTCCCAATGAATTCCTGGCTCAAAAGAATCATCTCGACAACTTCTGGGTCCTAAAAGCCTCAATTATTGGGCAGTATTACATAGCTAAAAAAGAAAAAAATTACCCACCCTGTAGAATGTCTCAGCTGTCTTGGACAGAAGCTATATAATAGTACTACCAAAACAGCCATTTGGTGGAGTTCAAACTACACTAAAAAAAAAAAATCCATTTGGTAAATTTCCAAAGTTGCCAACCGTGTGGACCCACCTGGAATCCCATCGGGATTGGACGGCTCCCACTAGAGTATACTGGATATGTGGGCATAGAGCCTATGCTAAGCTGCCTGACCAATGGACAGGCACTTGTGTTATTGGTACTACTAAATCATCTTTCTTCCTACTGCCCATAAAAAGAGATGAACTTCTAGGCTTCCCTGTCTACACTTCCTGCGAAAGAAAAAACATAGCCATAGGTAATTTAAAAGACAATAAATGACCCCCTAAAAATTATACAGTACTAGGGGCCTGCTACTTGGACACAAGATGGCTCATGGTGATACCAGACCCCCATTTACATGCTCAACCAAATCATACGGATGCAAGTTGTCTTAAAAATCATCATTAATAAAATCGGCCAACCCTTGACTTTACTGGCCCAACAAAAAACTCAGATAAAAAATGCTATCTACCAAAATAAATTGGCTCTTGATGACTTGCTGGCAGCTGAAGAAGGAGTCTGTAAAAAATTCAACCTTACTAATTGCTGCCTATACATAGATGATTAAGGGCAAGTAGTCAAAGACATAGTTAGAGACATAACAAAGCTGGCACATGTGCCCATGCAAGTGTGGCAAGGATTCAATCCTGGGACTATGTTTGAAAAACGGTTCCCAGCAATAAGAGAATTTAAAACTCTTATAATAAAAATTATAGTAGTAATAAAAACCTGCCTACTACTACCTTGTTTGCTACCTGTACTCCTTCAAATGATAAAAAGCTCTGTTGCTACCTTAGTTCACCAAAATCCTTCAGCACAAGTATACTATATGAATCACTATTGATCTGTCTTGCAGGAAAACATAGGTAGTAAAAATAAAAGTAAGAACTCCCACTATAGAGTGAGGTTCTCAAAGGGGGGGGAGAGTGAGGAGACCACTCCTCATATTGTCTTATACTTAATTTCTTGTTTACTGGAAAAGAAAAAGTTAAAAAAAATAGGCAGAAGTGAAAACCATAGTCAGACAACCAGGTGCCACATTTCGGGCCTGGTAGTTAAAATTCAACCCCTGACCTCACCGCTTGTGGTATCTATAGATTCCAAACATTGTATGAAAAAGCATTATGAAACTCCCTGTTCTGTTCTGTTTCGTTCTGATTACTGGTGCTTGCAGCCCCCAGTCACATACCCCTCACTTGCTCAATCGATCATGATCCCCCAACACACAGCCACTTTAGAGTAGTGAGCCCTTAAAAGGGACAGAAATTACTTATTCGAGGAGCATAGTTTCTAGGACGTAAGTCTGCCAATGCTCCCTTCTAAATAAAACTCTTTCCTTCCACAATCCAGTGTCTGAGGGATTTTGTCTATGATTCCTCCTGCTACAATATGCAGCTGGTGAGAATGTAAATTAGTTCAGCCACTATGGAAAGCACTTTCAAGATGTGTGAAAGCATGTAAAACTATGTAACAAACCTGCACATTCTGCACATGTATTCCAGAACTTAAGTATAATGAAAAAAAAAACGATGTGTGAAAGAACCTATACCACTACTGGGTATATACTCAAAGGAAAATGCATCATTCTACCAAAAAGACACATGCATTCATATGTTCATCACAACACTATTCACAATGGAAAAGACATGGAATCAACTTAGATGCCCATCAGTCGTGAATTGTGTAAGGAAAATGTGGGGCATACACACCATGGAATACCACACAGTCATAAAAAATGAACAAAATGATACCTTTTGCAGCAACATGGATGCAGCTGAAAGCCATTATCCTAAGCAAATTAATGCAGGTAAAGAAAACCAAATTCTGCATGAGGTCATTTATAAGTGTTAGCTAAACATTGGGTGCACATGGATGTAATAATGGCAACAATAGGCAATGGGGACTACTAGATGGAGGAGGGTGGGATAGCAGAATGGGCTGAAAAACTACTTATTGGGCACTATGCTCACTATATGGATGATGGGATCATTTATATGCCAAACCTCAGTGACATAAAATCTACCCATGTAACAAACCTGTACATGTACCCCTGAACCTAAAAGTCAAAATAGAAAGCAATAAAAAAATTAAAAATGTCAAATGAAGATCAGAAAAAAGATGCAATTATATGTTCTCTATAAGGAACCCACTCTAAATATAAAGACATATACAATGTAAAAAAGTGAAGTTGTTATCCAGGGCCCTGGGAAATGAGCCACTCCACCTACCATGACTGGCACCCACAAACACCAACAGGAGGCCTGAGGAGAGGCCCACCCCAACTGCCACCACCAACACCAGTGATCATGTATGTCATCTAGGGTCCTAGGGATTTACTTGCCCCACCCATTTCCCTGGTGCCCATGAACAACATTGAGGAGCCTGAGGACAGCCCTGTCCCACGTGGTGCTGCTGCTGGTGCTCACACATGTCCAGAGGCCTGGACCACCACCAACAAAGCCTATGTGTGCCATCCAGGGGATGAAGAACAGGCCCACCCTGCCCACCACCACCAATACTGGTGCCCACGTAAGTTGTCTAGTGAACTGAGGAAATATTCTCCTCATCAACTGCCACTCTCAAGGGGCCCAAGTGTACCATTTGGAGGCTTAGGTATTGATCTGCCCCACCGGTCATCACTGGCACCCATGCACACCTTCAGGGACCTAAGGACAGGCCCACTCTGCCTGCCACTGTCATTACTGGTACGCAAGGACTGGCCTGCCTAGTGTCTCCATCCACAGCAAAGCATTGCCACAGCCCCTAGTTGTTAAGCCACTGAGGAGCTCACAGACACCACTCACACTGTTTACAGCAGGAGAAATCCTATGGGGCCTATAATACTGTGCCCACCTTGGATCAAAACCAAAGTACTCTATGCAACTAACACTACAGCTATATCTACAGGAAAAAGCCTCTCCCTACAAAAGCCAATCCAAAAACCTAGGAGAAGCAACTGTCACACCAAATACACAGATACCAACTTAAGAACATAAGAAACATGAGAAAACAAGGAAACATGGCATTTCTAAAGGAGCACAATAACTCTCAAGTAAAAGATCCAAAAAACATTTATAAAATGTCTGAAAGAAATTCAAAATAATAATATTAAAGAAACTCAATGAGATATAAGAGAAAACAGATAAACTACACAAAGAAATAAGGAAAACAAATCAGGATTTGAATGAGAAATTCCACAAAGAGATAGATGTAAAGAAACCAAAGAGAAATCATGGAAGTGAAGAAGTCAAAGAAAGAAATAAAAAATACAATTGAGGGCTTTCACAGTAGACTAGGTCATGCAGAAGAAATAATTTCTGAACATAACAGATCTTTTCAAATAACCCTATCAAACAAAAAATAAAAAATAATAAAAATAATGAAGAAATCCTATTTGAAAAATCAGACACCATAAAATGGCCAAATATTTGAATTATGGGAGTTCCAAAACAAAAAGAGCAAATGAAAATGAATTGTTTAATAAAATAATAACTGGAGTCCTGGGGCAGTTCCAAGATGGCTGAATAGGAATAGCTCCAGTCTACAGCTCCCAACGTGAGTGACACAGAAGATGGATGATTTCTGCATTTCCAACTGAGGTACCAGGTTCATCTCACTGGGGCTTGTCAGACAGTGGGTGCAGCCCACAGAGTGAGAGCCAAAGGAGGGCGAGGCATCGCCTCACCCGGGAAGTGCAAGGGGTCAGGGGATTCCCTTTCCTAGCCAAGGGAAGCGGTGACAGACAGCACCTGGAAAATCAGGTCACTCCCACCCTAATACTGCGCTTTTCCAATGGTCTTAGTAAATGGCACACCAGGAGATTATATCCCTCTGCATACTTAAATGTCCCTCTCTGACAGTTTGGAAGACAGTAGTAGTTCTCCCAGCATGGAGTTTGAGATCTGACAACGGACAGACTGCCTCCTCAAGTGGGTCCCTGATGCCTGAGGTGCCTAACTGGGAGGCACCCACAAGTAGGGGCAGAATGACACCTCAAACGGCCAGGCACCCCTCTGAGCTGAACTTTCCAGAGGAACGATCAGGCAGCAACATTTGCTGTTCAGCAATATTTGATATACCGCAGCTCCGCTGCAGATACCCAGGCAAACAGGGTCTGGAGTGGACCTCCAGCAAACTCCAACAGACTTGCAGCCGAGGGTACTGACTGTTAGAAGGAAAACTAACAAACAGAAAGGAAATACACACCAAAACCCCATATGTACGTCACCATCATCAAAGACCAAAGGTAGATAAAACCATAAAGATGGGGAAAAAACAGAGCAGAAAAGCTGAAAATTCTAAAAATCAGAGTGTCTCTCCCCCTCCAAAGAAACGCAGCCCCCCACCACCTATCAAACAAAGCTGGATGGAGAATGACTTTGATGAGTTGAGAAAAGAAGGTTTCAGACAATCAAACCTCTCCGAGCTAAAGGAAGAAGTTTGGACAAATCGCAAAGAAGCTAAAAACCTTGAAAAAAGATTAGACGAATTGCTAACTAGAATAACCAGTCTAGAGAAGTCCTTAAATGACCTGATGGAGCTGAAAACCATGGCACGAGAACTACGTAATGAATGCACAAGCTTCAGTAGCTGATTTGATCAACTGGAAGAAAGAGGATCAGTGATTGAAGATCAAATGAATGAAATGAAGTGAGAAGTTTACAGAAAAAAGAGTAAAAAGAAATGAACAAAGCCTCCAAGAAATATGGGACTATGTGAAAAGACCAAATCTACATCTGATTGGTGTACCTGAAAGTGACAGGGAGAATGGAACAAGTTGGAAAACACTCTGCAGGATATTATCCAGGAGAACTTCCCCAATCTAGCAAGGCAGGCCAACATTCAAATTCGGGAAATATAGAGAACACCACAAAGATACTCCTTGAGAAGAGCAACTCCAAGACACATAACTGTCAGATTCACAAAAGTTGAAATGAAGGAAAAAATGTTTAGAGGAGCCAGAGAGAAAGGTCGGGTTACCCACAAAAGGAAGCCCATTAGACTAACAGTGGATCTCTCAGCAGAAATTCCACAAGTCAGAAGAGAGTGGGGGCCAATATTCAACATTCATAAAGAAAAGAATTTTCAACCCAGAATTTTATATCCACCCAAAATAAGCTTCATAAGTGAAGGAGAAATCAAATACTTTACAGACAAGCAAATGCTGAGAGATATTGTCACCACTGGGCCTGCCCTAAAAGAGCTCCTGAAGGAAGCACTAAACATGGAAAGGAAAAACTGGTACCAGCCACTGCAAAAACATGCCAAATTGTAAAGACCATCGATGCTAGGAAGAAACAGCATCAACCAATGAGCAAAATAACCAGCTAACATCATAATGACAGGATCAAATTCACACATAAAAATATTAACCTTAAATGTAAATGGGCTAAACGCTCCAATTAAAAGACACAGACTGGCAAATTGGATAAAGAGTCAAGACCCATCAGGGTGCTGTATTCAGGAGACCCATCTCATGTGCAGAGACACACATAGGATCAAAATAAATGGATAGAAGGAGACCTACCAAGCAAATGGAAAACAAAAAAAGGCAGGGTTGCAATCCTAGTCTCTGATAAAACAGACTTTAAACCAACAAAGATCAAAAGAGACAAAGAAGGCCATTACATAATGGTAAAGGGATCAATTCAACAAGAAGAGCTAACTATCCTAAATATATATGCACCCAATACAGGAGCACCCAGCTTCATAAAGCAAGTCCTTAGAGACCTACAAAGAGACTTAGACTCCCACACAATAATAATGGGAGACTTTAACACCCCACTGTCAACATTAGACAGGTCAACGAGACAGAAAGTTAACAAGGATATCCAGGAACTGAACTCAGCTTTGCAACAAGCGGACCTAATAGACATCTACAGAACTCTCCAGCCCAAATCAACACAATATACATTCTTCTCAGCACCTCATCGCACTTATTCCAAAATTGACCACATAGTTGGAAGTAAAGCACTCCTCAGCAAATGTAAAAGAACAGAAATTATAACAAACTGTCTCGCAGACCACAGTGTAATCAAACTAAAACTCAGGATTAAGAAACTTACTCAAAACTGCACAACTACATGGAAACTGAACAACCTGCTCTGGAATTACTACTGGGTACATAATAAAATGAAGGCAGAAATAAAGATGTTCTTTGAACCCAATGAGAACAAAGACACAACATACCACAATCTCTGGGAAACATTTAAAGCAGTGTGTAGAGGGAAATTTATAGCACTAAATGCCCACAAGAGAAAGCAGGAAAGATTGAAAATTGACACCATAACATCACAATTAAAAGAACTAGAGAAGCAAGAACAAACACATTCAAAAGCTGGCAGAAAGCAAGAAATAACTAAGATCAGAGCAGAAGTGGAGGAGATAGAGACACAAAAAATCCTTCAAAAAATCAATGAATCCAGGAGCTGGTTTTCTGAAAAGATCAACAAAATTAGTAGACTGCTAGCAAGACTAATAAAGAAGAAAAGAGAGAAGAACCAAATAGACGCAATAAAAAATGACAAAAGGGATATCACCACTGATCCCACAGAAATACAAACTACCATCAGAGAATACCATAAAAACCTCTACGCAAATAAACTAGAAAATCTGGAAGAAATGGATAAATTCCTCGACACATACATCCTCCCAAGACTAAACCAGGAAGAAGTTGAATCTCTGAATAGACCAATAACAGGCTCTGAAATTAAGGCAATAATTAATAGCTTACCTACCAAAAAAAGTCCAGGACGAGACGGATTCACAGCCAAATTCTACCAGAGGTACAAGGTGGAGCTGGTACCATTCCTTCTGAAACTATTCCAATCAATAGAAAAAGAGGGAATCCTCCCTATCTCGTATTATGAGAACAGCATCATCCTGATACCAAAGCCTGACAAAGACAAACCAAAAAAACGAATTTTAGACCAATATCCCTGAAGAACATTGATCCAAAAATCCTCAGTAAAATACTGGCAAACCAAACGCAGCAGCACATCAAAAGCCTTATCCACCATGATCAAGTGGGCTTCATCCCTGGGATGCAAGGCTGGTTCAACATATGCAAATCAATAAACATAATCCAGCATATAAACAGAACCAAAGACAAAAACCACATGAGTATCTCAATAGATGCAGAAAAGGCCTTTAACAAAATTCAACAGCCCTTCATGCTAAAAACTGTCAGTAAATTAGGTATTGATGGGATGCATCTCAAAATAGTAAGAGCTATTTATGAAAACCCACAGCCAATATTATACTGAACGGACAAAAACTGGAAGCATTCCCTTTGAAAACGGGCACAAAGCAGGGATGCCCTCTCTCACCACTCCTATTCAACATAGTGTTGGAAGTTCTGGCAAGGGCAATGAGGCAGGAGAAAGAAATAAAGGTATCCAATTAGGAAAAGAGGAAGTCAAATTGTCCCTGTTTGCAGATGACATGACTGTATATTTAGAAAACCCCATTGTCTCAGCCCAAAATCTCCTTAAGCTAATAAGCAACTTAAGCAAAGTCTCCGGATACAAAATCAATGTGCAAAAATCACAAGCATTTTTATACGCCAACAACAGACAAGCAGAGCCAAATCATGAGTGAACTCCCATTCACAATTGCTTCAAAGAGAATAAAATACCTAGGAATCCAACTTACAAGGGATGTGAAGGACCTCTTCAAGGAGAACTACAAACCACTGCTCAACGAAATAAAAGAGAACACAAACAAATGGAAGAACATTCCATGCTCATGGGTAGGAAGAATCAATATCATGAAAATGGCCATACTGCCCAAGGTAATTTATACATTCAATGTCATCCCCATCAAGCTGCCAATGACTTTCTTCATAGAATTGGAAAAAACTACTTTAAAGTTCATATGGAACCAAAAAAAAGCCCACATTTCCAAGACAGTCCTAAGCCAAAAAAACAAAGCTGGAGGCATCATGCTACCTGATTTCAAACTATACTGCAAGCTACAATAACCAAAACAGCATGGTACTGTTACCAAATCAGAAATATAGACCAATGGAACAGAACAGAGCCCTCAGAAGTAACACTGCACATCTACAACCATCTGATCTTTGACAAACCTGACAAAAACAAGCAATGGGAAAAGGATTCCCTATTTAATAAATAGTGCTGGGAAAACTGGCTAGCCACATGTAGGAAGATGAAACTGGATCCCTTCCTTACACCTTACACAAAAATTAATTCAAGATGGATTAAAGACTTAAATGTTAGACCTAAAACCATAAAAACCCTAGAAGAAAACCTAGGCAATACCATTCAGGAAATAGGCATGGTCAAGGACTTCATGTCTAGAACACCAAAAGCAATGGCAACAAAAGCCAAAATTGATAAATGGGATCTAATTAAAGTAAACAGCTTCTGCACAACAAAAGAAACCACCATCAGAGTGAACAGGAAACCTACAGAATGGGAGAAAATTTTTGCAACCTACTCATCTGACAAAGGGCTAATATCCAGAATCTACAATGAACTCAAACAAATTTACAAGAAAAAAACAAACAACCCCATCAAAAAGTAGGCAAATGATATGAACAGACACTTCTCAAAAGAAGACGTTTATGCAGCCAAGAGACACATGAAAAAATGCTCATCATCACTGGCCATCAGACAAATGAAAATCAAAACCACAGTGAGATACCATCTCTCGCCAGTTAGAATGGCAATCATTAAAAAGTCAGGAAACAACAGGTGCTGGAGAGGATGTGGAGAAATAGGAACACTTTTACACTGTTGGTGGAACTGTAAACTAGTTCAACCATTGTGGAAGTCAGTGTGGCGATTCCTCAGGGATCTAGAACTAGAAATACCATTTGACCCAGCCATCCCGTTACTGGGTGTATACCCAAAGGATTATAAATCATGATGCTATAAAGACACATGCACACGTATGTTTATTGCAGCACTATTCACAATAGCAAAGACTGGGAACCAACCCAAATGTCCAACAATGATAGACTGGATTAAGAAAATGTGGCACATATACACCATGGAATACCATGCAGCCATAAAAAAGGATGAGTTCATGTCTTTTGTAGGGACATGGATGAAGCTGGAAACCATCATTCTCAGCAAACTATCGCAAGGACAAAAAACCAAGCACCGTATGTTCTCACTCACAGGTGGGAATTGAACAATGAGAACCCTTGGACACAGGAAGGGGAGCATCTCACACTGGGGCCTGTCGTGGGTTGGGGGATGAGGGAGGGAACGCATTAGGAGACATACCTAATGCTAAATGACGAGTTAATGGGTGCAGCACACCAGCATGGCACATGTATACATATGTAACAAATCTGCACGTTGTGCACATGTACCCTAGAACTTAAAGTATAAATAAAATAATTAATTAATTAAAAAAATAAAAATAAAATAAAATAATAACTAACAACTTCAAAGTCTTGCAAGAGATACAGATCTCCAGATACAGGAAGCTCAAAAATCCCCAAATAGATTAAACTTAAAAAATGTTTTCATCAAAGTACAATATATCCAAACTATCAAAAGTCAAAGACAAAGAGAGAATTCCAAAAAAATAAAAGAGAAAACCATCAGGTCACATATAATCCCCATCAGGGCCAGGCATGGTGGCTCATGCCTATAATCCCAGTACTTTAGGAGGCCAAGGCAGGCAGATCACTTGAGGTCTGGAGATCAAGACGAGCCTTGCCAAAATAGTGAAACCCCATCTCTACAAAAAGTGCAAAAATTAGCTTGGTTTGGTAGTGGGCACCTGTGATCCCAGCTACTCAGGAGGCTGAGGCAGGAGAATCACTTGAACCCAGG